>NC_000011.10:59979619-60282649 GCF_000001405.40 Homo sapiens
ACAAAATCTTCTCCCAGCCAAGGAAAACACTCCACAGTGGTAGAAGAGAAATAAAACTGTTCTATTATTGAATAAGAATGTGATAGACATCACAGTCAATCTGCTAAGAGATTGCAAAGAAAGAAAATCTCACTCTTTCATATAGCTATGCAGATAGAATTCCCTATATGTGTTCTCAAGTTAAAAAATTAGTCCTTAGGAAAGAGGACTTGACTTGATGGTACCATTTGTCACATGTAACTTGTCCTATCTTTTACCTGGTAATGGACATAACTTCTTTTAGGTAATTGGCTTTATCTACAAAAAAAACTTCATATCTTTATGATAGGACATAGTTCTGCAAATTAGAACGAGGCATCTACAGGAGTTAGGCTGTCATTCTCTCCTAGAAACTGAGATAGGAACACCTTCTTCCTTGATGTTTACATTCCAAAGAGATGGCCCCCAGGTCATTGAGAAAGACAGTCTCAGGTCTTAAAGCTGACAAAAGGTCAATTAATTCTTCAAATGGCTGTATATACATTTTTTTTTTAAAAAAGAGGAGAAAGTACTTACAAGTTTTCTGAGGTAAATGCTCTAAGCAAAAGGAGAGGAGGGAAAGCTTTCCTTAATTTTAATGGGAAGAATTAAGCCTCTTGTCTTCAATTTGTATTTACAACTGCACCTTACAGGTTGCTAAAGCTGAAAACTGTGATGCTATCCTGGCTACCTTTTTCTCTTACTGTATACATCAGCAAACCATTGATTCTACCTTCAAAATATTTGAAGAACTGGACCATTTCTGATAAACTCTAATGTTATTATGCTGTCCAAACCGTTAAGTATCTTTGGCTTGAATTATTGCACTGTCCTTGTAACTTGTTTTATGTGTCACCCCATCCCCTTAAATTATGTTTTCCACATAGCAAACAGAGAGCTCTCAACAAAATGTAAGCAGGAATGCATCATTCATCTGGTCAAAATCTTCCAACGGCTTTTTATCCCCCGAGGGTCAAGTGCCTGTTGAATGGCCTCCAGGACTACACGTAATTTGTTCCTTGATAGTTCTCTGATCTCATGGCCTGTTTCTTCCCCACTTGCTGTCTCTTTTTCCGCAATATTGGACTCTTCACTGCCCAGGTTCTCCAGGCAAACTCTCGTGCCTGTCATTTGTATTTTCTCTTCTCATTGCCTGGGATGTTCTTCCCTTAGTTATTTGCATAGCTCTTCTACTCATCTTCTGGAGGACTTTGTTCAAATGTGTCCTTATTGAGACCTTCTCAGATCATTGTATTTAAAATTTCAACTCTCTCCTCATTTTGTGTCCCTTTCATGTCTTATTTTTCCTCAAAATTGTTACTATCTAAAATAGTTCTTTAGTTTCTCTTACCCAACCATTAGAATAGAAGCTCAATGGGCAATAGAGCTTGCTTGATATATCCATATTTTAATGTCCTCTAATTTTTCCATTATCACTTCACATAATGGATGGGGGTTGGGATGGAAAATCAAGCACTTGGAGAATTTTGGACAATCTTGGGATAACTGAGAAGGAGCAATAATAATACCTTTTGTGGTGTCAGTACTATACTGTCTTTCATCTGAATGCCGTCGTTAGAACGCTCCTTCATCCCTGTTAACTAAACCTGTTGCCTCTTCTATCTGTAGTGCAAGAAACAGAAAAATACTTGACAGCGTGAGTCAGCAGAGACTCAAGACAGGGGTAAATAAAGAGGAAAGAAGAGAGAACAGTGTCTAGATAACTAGACTATTTCAGGCTAAATATAGTTGTATTTGAATATATGATACAATGATGGCACATATTCAAAAACATATTCAAAATATATCACTCATCATATATTCAAATACAATGCTTATGACAAAACATGAGATTTAAAAAATTGTTTAAAATGGTGGTTGTCAAACTGTTGCATGTCTCACCTGGAAAGCTTGTTAGGACAGATTGCTGGGGCCCAACCTGGTGTCTGACACAGGTCTGAGTAGAGCTTAGGAATTTGTATTTCTAAGAAGTTCCTTAGGATGTCAACTCTATTGGTACAAGGATTAAACTTTGAGAACCACTGATTCACAGTGTGGCCTCTTTGTTTCAAGAAATTCAAATTAGTACAAAGTTATCTTAGTGAAACCTAGGTGGTAGGAGATACAAGTAAGCAAGTACATTTCAAAGGTCACATTGGGTGGGAAGAGAACAAAGTAAAATGTAAAGGAATTTTAAAAGTGTTATAGAATGGGGATGGAAGCAGTGAGAAAAGTTTCCTTGATTCCCTCTGGGTTCTTCCTACCCATGAGCATGGAGTGTTCTTCCATTTGTATCCTCTTTTATTTCATTGAGCAGTGGTTTGTAGTTCTCCTTGAAGAGGTCCTTCACATCCCTTGTAAGTTGGATTCCTAGGTATTTTATTCTCTTTGAAGCAATTGTGAATGGGAGTTCACTCACGATTTGGCTCTGTGTTTGCCTGTTATTGGTGTATAAGAATGCTTGTGATTTTTGCACCTTGATTTTGTATCCTGAGACACTGCTGAAGTTGCGTATCAGCTTAAGGAGATTTTGGGCTGAGACGATGGGGTTTTCTAGATATACGATCATGTCATCTGCAGACAGGGACAATTTGACTTCCTCTTTTCATAATTGAATGCCCTTTATTTCCTTCTCCTGCCTGATTGCCCTGGGGTTGATAAAGGAAGCAATCACAGGTATATTCTTCTGATTAACAAGTTCCATAGGATTTAAAATATTTTTTAGTAAATTTTTCTTTGATCCAAAGTATTATGTTACTTTATTTTTAACATTATTGGACAATGGCCAAATTGGCCTATACAACTTAGTAATAGTTGATTAAGGCATTTTTTGTGATCACGCCTATGTCTAAACTTTATAACTGTTCTATACCCATAAATAGGGATATTCTCATGTGGCTGTAGTAATATACCTGTGATTGCTTCCATTATGAAACAGGACAAGTCTCTTACTAGAATAAGAAATGATAGCTAAGCCTCATGTCTAGTTTATTTTTAAACTGTCATATAGCCTTAATAATACTATATCATCTTACAGATTAGGAAACAGAATTAACCTGATATAAAATGTGAGTGTGGATAAAACTTTCTTTACTAGAAGTATTATAAGTCATACTAATCATCAAATCAATATAACCTTGGCAAATTGCAGAACTGTGAATATGCATACATAAGATCATATTAAACAATGAAATACTGTTTGAAAATGTAAAGAGACTATATAATTGTTTTGAAGTAGGCAACGTAAGCGTCCTGTTTCATGTTATAAATGCTCTAACAGATCATTTCTGACAAGAAAGGTGGGTATTCATTAGCTTCACTTTGGACAATGTATACATGTTGGAGAACAAGTTTAGCATATAAAAAGCCTTCTGTTATCAGATAAGGGGCAAACTTTCTCATTAGTAATATCAATAATTTAATATACCCTAGGTCCTATATTGGAGCCTTTGTAATTTAACACTCAGTGAGTCCCAGGAAGGAGCTCCTATGACTTCCTCACATTCTAATGAGGAAATTAAGCCATGAAAAGATTAAGTAAATCATCCAAGATCTCAGTAGAAAATATAAAAATAGAACCAAGGCATTTCTACTCTAGAGCTGGGCATTCAGATTGACTAAGAGGTTTAATGTTTTCTGAACTATTGGTTAGAGACAGACATGCTATCTGACATTTTCTCTTCTCTTTCTTCCATCAGTGTTTGTAGAGTGTACTGAATCTTGGCTTCTGGTTGAAATTAGAGGAGCACCTCTTGTGGAAAACCTGCAACCTAAGCATAATGAGCTGTCTCTAGGAAATGGGTGTCCTGTAACCAGGATGACGAATGATATCTTTGAGTTCACTTATGCTCTTGAGTTTTCTGGCATCATGAAATATGTAAGAGTGGCTGGTATTTTTACAAATGGCAGTCTTCTCTAGGATTCACATTCACTTATTAACACTGTGTTTTTTAATTGATAGTTGATCTTATATAATGTAATATTGACTACTCTCTAACTTTTTGGACAATTTTATAGTAGAAGAAATGTGAGACAAAATGTGGGATTTAAAGAAAACATGTGTTTCTTTTACCAGCTTTTTGCTACACATCTCCCCTGCTTTGATGGAGAGATTTTATATTAACTGGGATAAAATCAAACTTAAAGGAAACATCTTATTTAAAATAACACTACAATCCTTCACCTAGTTGTTGGTGTTGATGAAAATATCCGACTAAAATAGGAGCTACCTGGTTAGGTAACTGCTGTGTAACTAAGACAACCAACCCAGTTCTCTTTTCTGAAACCAAAACACTTGAAATTCTATTAACTATCCTGAATAAAATGGATCATTAGAGAGAGAGCCAATAGAAAATGAGAGAAATAACACTTAAGTAATCATGTGTCAATTACTGCTAAGGAGCATGTTAGAAGCTTCAGTTCTTTGATCATCATTGCAGCCAGTGCATATTTTACTTATTTAACAAACAAATAGTATGTGTTATGTACCAGGTAATTTACTTACCTAACTCTCACAGTAACACCCTTGGCTAAATAGTATTATCTCCATTTTTAAAGCAGACATTAGGAATAGAGTGAGCAAGTAATTTGCCAAGTGTCACACAGAAAGTAGAGTAGCTGGGACTTGAACTGGACATTCGTACCCTTAACCCATTCAAGTCTGATGCCTCACATCTCTTGATTTTGCTTTATCTTCCTGCTGTATTTGGAATGGCAGCTTGGTTTTCCTTTTTGGACTCGCATCTGCCCCACTTTCAATATATCTGATTTATCTGTACCAATTCTGCCTCTGTCTCCAGGTACATGACCACACCCTTTCTTACTGATGCATCCCCAATACCTAGAACAATGCCCAGCATGTGAGCACTATACAACTGCTATTTAGATAAAATATAGGCACTCAGTTAATATTTGTGAAATAAATGAAAAAGTCATGCCAATTGTCGGGTTAGATAATTGTTGCAGGTCAAGTGGAATTACACTAAGAACTTTTCAGAGATTTCTAGGGACGTAGTTTACTCTTTTTCACTGGGATTATAAATAGATAATCTTGAAGCAAGTAAGTGCTGAGATTTCTATTTGTCACCCCTGAGGAGAGACCTTGCCTGAAAAAGAGGCTAACATGGGATGAAAAAGATAGGAGTTTGTGGAGGGCAGTGGAGGTAGGGCAGAGAGACAGGTATTTGACAACGTGGTTGGAATTCTATTATCCAGCTATTCCTAAAGCAAGATTACCTTGGGACTCCTCAGGAACATTGATCAATTTGTGCTAAATTTAGATTACTTTGAATGTCTCTTATGTGTGGTAAATACTGTCCTGGATAATGCTCAACCCTACACACTCTCACTACAGTCATTTTATAGATTGAAAATCTTGGGGTTAGTTATTCCTTATTGTTACATAAACAGGAAATGCCAAAAGTGATATTTGAACTTTAGCAATCTGAAGTACTAGCAAACATCCTTGAATACCATGTTTTTAACATATACAATGTGTATTTAAAGTTGAAACATATCCAAATATTGACTATGACTGCATGAAAGAGTTGAATTATCTCCGTTTGACACTGGCATTTTCCAATTCTATAACATGAATATTTAAATTATAGTATATGAGATGCACATATATTTGCTTGTACTTTCCATGTTATCTACTACTATGGAGGTATGCTTATATATACTTCTATTGTTTTTCTTTAGAGATACTTCTATTTGTTATTTATGTTGTAGGTACTGTGATTTCTCATTCACAAATAATAGCTCATATCTGGGATTGGCAGTTATGGCCAGTGGATTAAATTCAGCTAGGCATCTATGTTTATAAGTTTTATTGGAGCATGGGTACATTCATTTAGATATTGACAGTTCATATGCTACATTGGCAGAATTGAGTACAGGCATACCTCAGATATATTCTGATTTTGGTTCCAGACCACCAAAATAAAGTGAGTTACACAAATTTCTTACAATTTTACGGTGCACATATGTATTGACTACGCTGCAGATTATTAAGTGTGTAATAGCATTATGTCTAAAAAGATATTAATTTTAATTTAAAAATGCTGTACTTTGTTGCTAAAAATACAAAAGATCATCTGAACCTTCAGCAGTCATAATGTTTGCAGGTGGAAGTTCTTGTCTCAGTAATGATGGCTGCTGATTGATTAGAGTGGTGGTTGCTGAAGGTTGGGGTGGCTGTGGAAATTTCTTGAATTAGACAATAATGAAATGTACTGTATTGATTGACTCTTCCTTTCATGAAAGATTTCTCTGTACCATGTGATGCTGTTTGACAGTATTTTACCCAAAGTAGAGCTTTCAAAATTGGAGTCAATCCTTTCACATCCTGCCACTGCTTGATCAACTAAGTTTATGGAATATTCTAAATCCTTTGTCATTTCAACAGTGTTTATGACATCTTCATTAGGAGTGGATTTCCTCTAAAGAAAACACTTTTTTTTCCTCATCCATAAGAAGCAACTTCTCATCTATTACATTTTTATCATGAGGTTGTAGCAATTCAGTCACATCTTCAGGCTTTATTTTTAACTTGAGTTCTCTTGGTATTTCTACCATACCTGCAGTTACTTTCTCCACTGAAGAAAGTAGTGGAAGTCTTGAAGCCCTTAAAGTCATCCACAAGGGTTGGAATTAACTTATCCCAAACTTCTGCTAATGTTGACATTTTGACCTTCTCTGATAAATTATAAATGTTCTTAATGGCCTCTAGAATGGTAAATCATTTACAGAAATTTTTAAATTTACTGTGCCCAGATCCATCAGAGGAAACACTATCTATGGCAGCTATAGCCTTACAAAATGTATTTCTGAAAAGACTTGAAAGCTAAAATTACTCCTTGATCCATGGACTGCAGAATGGATGTGGTGTTAGTAGGCATGAAAACAACATTAATCTCCTTGTACATCTTTATCAGAGCTCTTGATTGACTAGATGTGTTGTCAATGAATAGTAACATTTTGAAAGAAATCTTGTTTTCTGAATAGTAGCTCTCAACAGTGGGCTTAAAATGTTCTGTAAACCATGCTGTAAACAGATGTGCTGTTATCTAGGGTTTGTGGTTTTATTTATAGGGAATAAGCAGAATAGATTTGGCATAATTCTTAAGGGCCATAGGAGTTTTGGGAAGGGTAAATGTGCTTTGGTTTCAACTTAAAATTACCAGCTGCATTAGCCCCTAACAGTCAGCCTGTCCTTTGCAGCTTTGAAGGCAGGCATTGACTTCTCAATAGCTGTGGAAGTCCAAATGACATCTTCTTCCAATATAAGGGTTTTTCATCTGCGTTGAAAATCTATTTAGTGTAGCCACCTTCATCAGTAATCTTAGCTACATTTTCTGGATAACTTGCTGCAGCTTCTCAATTAGCACTTGCAACTTCACCTTGTGCTTTTATGGAGATGACTTCTTCCTTAAAGCTCATGAACCAACCTCTGCTAGCTTCAAGCTTCACTTCTGCAGCTTTCTCACCTCTCGGTCTTTATAGAGTTGAGAAGAGTTAGAGCCTTGCTCTGAATTAGGCTCTGGCATGAGGGATGTTATGGCTGGTTTGATCCAGACCACTAAAACTTTCTCTATATCAGAAATAAGGCTGTTTTGCTTTCTTGTCATTTGGGTGTTCACTGGAGTAGCACTTTTAATTTCCTTCAATAACTTTTCCTTTCATCCAAAACTTGACCGTCGGGCACAAGAGGCCTAGCTTTTGTCTTTTCTTGGCTTTTGACATGCCTTCCTCACTAAGCTTAACCATTTTTGGCTTTTGATTCAAAGTAAGAGATATGTAACTCTTCCTTTCCTGTGAACGTTTAGAGGCCATTGTAGGATTATTAACATCTTAACATTTTTGTCTCAGAGAATAGAGAGGCCTGAGAAGAGGAAGAGAGACAAGAATGGCTGGTCAGTGGAACAGTAGGAATATATACAACATTTATTAAGTGTGCTGTCTTTATGAACATGGTTCCTGGTGCTCCAAAACAACTACAATAGTAACATTAAAGATCACTGATCACAAACCACAACAGATACAATAATGAAAAACTAGAAATACTGTGAAATGATCAAAATATGACACGGAGGCATGAAGTGAGCACATGCTGTTGGAAAAATGGTACTCAACTTTCTCAATGCAGGATTGCTACATGTCTTTAGTTTGTAGAAAATGTGTTATCTGTGAAGCATGATAGAGTGAAATGCAATAAAATGAGGTATGTCTGTATTTTCAAGAGAGCTAGTACAGTCTGCAAAGACTGAAATATTCTCTGGCCAGTTTGACAACCCCTGAGCTATATTATCTCCATTTTATGAGTGGGGAAGGTAGAACCTGCTCTGAAATAATGAAACATTTAGTGAAAATTCATACTCAGAGTAAGTTGCAGAGCCTGTCCTATAATACAGGTCTGCCAAAATCAGGCCCCTACACTTAAACAAATGTGATCAGGAGTTGTCTACACATTGACAGACAACAAAATGTCTGGACATAATGTCAGGAGCTATTACTTGGGTGTTTTCTAAACATAAACATTTTATTACTTAGCTCTGTTGTCCTTTGACTTAATATAAAATAAAAATTTCTATTATTTTAAAAACTTTAACTCTTATTTTTGAACTGTTAGATTTAAGTAAAACAAGTTCATACTTTTTTTATTCTCTTGAGGAATGCCCATGGGGCATTCTTGTTGAGAGTTTCGTCAAATATCAACCAGCGTTTTTGAATTTCAGAACTTACATCCCAGTAAGATGCGCCCTTGAAAGGTAAGTCTAGCTGGCTACAGAGATTAAGGTTCTCTAACATTTGCTTGGTTGCCAGGTGTTTCCGATGAGACTAAAGATGTTAGAAAATATGCTGAGGTCCAGCCCTTAGACCTGTCTGACTGATGGACAGTGTTCTGTTCTTTTATATGAGTAGATATGTCATATAATATATGAATGTTTATATATAAAGCTGACTGTCTCAATGTATTTTATTAATAAAATGAACCTATTTGTTTCTCTGGTAGCTGACACTATTGTGGTTTTTAAAAAAATTTTAAATGTTTAATTCTTGTGGGTACATAGTAGGTGTATATATTTATGTGGTACATGAGATGTTTTGATACAGTCATGCATTGCATAATAATCACATGGAGAATGGGGGTATCCATCCCCTCAAGCATTTATCCTTTGTGTCACAATCTAATTAGTCTCCTTTGGTTATTTTTAAATCCACAATTAAGTTATTATTGACTACAGTCACTGTGTTGTGCTATCAAATTGTAGATCTTATTCATTTTTTTTCTATTTTTTTGGTATGCATTAACCAACCACCCCTCCTCCCTCTCTCAACCTACCACTACATTTTCTGGTCTTTGATAGCCATTCTTCTACTCTCTATGTCCATCGGTTCAATTGTTTTGATTTTTAGATCCTACAAATAAGTGAGAACATGCAATGTTTGTCTTTCTCTGCCTGGCTCATTTCACTTAATGACCTCCAGTTCCATCCATGTTGTTGCACATGGTAGGATCTTATTCTTTTTTTATGGCTGAATAGTACTCCATTGTGTATATGTACCACATTGCCTTTATCCATCCATCTGGATAAAGTGGACACTTAAGTTGCTTCCAAATCTTAACTATTGTGAACAATGCTGCAACAAACATGGGAGTGTATATCTCTTCAACATACTGATTTCTTTTGAGTATATACTGAGCAGTGGGATTGCTGGATCACATGGTAGCTCTATTTTTAGTTCTTTAGGGAACTTCCAAACTGTCCCCCATAGTGGTTGTACTAACTTATATTCTCACCAACAGGGTATGAGGGTTCTCTTTTCTCCACATTCTCACCAGCATTTGTTATTGCTTGTCTTTGGCAAGTACAAGCTATTTTAACTCGGGCGAGATGATATCTCATTGTATTTTTTATTTACATTTCTCTGATCTATTTCCATATGCCTGTCTGCCATTTGTATGTCATCTTTTGAGAAATGTTTATTCAAACCTTTTACCCACTTTTTCTTTTATCAGATTATTAGATTTTTTTGCCTATAAAGTTGTTTGAGTTCTTTATACATTCTGGTGATTAACCCCTCATCAGATGGGTAGTTTGTAAATACTTTCTCTCAGTCTTCGGGTTGTCTCTTTCCTTTGTTGATTGGATCCTTTGCTGTGCAGAAGCTTTGTAACTTGATGTGATCACATTTGTACAATTTTGCTTTGGTTGCCTATGCTTATAGGGCATTGCTCAAGAAATTTCTGCCCAGACCAATGCCCTGGAGATTTTCCCCAATGTTTTCTTTTAGTTTCATAGTTTGATGTTTTAGATTTAAATTTTTAATCCATTTTGATTTGATTTTTTGTATATGGCAAGAGATAGGGATCTAGTTTAATTCTTCTGCATATGGATATCCAGTTTCCCAGCACTATTTATGAAAGAGACTGTCTTTTCCCCAGTGTACATTATTGGCACAATTGTTGAAAATGAGTTCACTATAGGTGTGTGGATTTGTTTCTGGGTGCTCTATTCTGTTCCATTGATTTTTGTGTCTGTTTTTATGTCACTACCATGCTGTTTTGGTTACTATAGCTCTGTAGTATAATTTGAAGTTAGGTAATGTGATTCCTCCACTTTTGTTCTTTTTTGCTTAGGATAGCTTTGGCTATTCTGGGTCTTTTGTGGTTCTATATAAATGTTAGGATTGTTTTTCCTATTTCTGTGAAGAATGTAATTGGAATTTGGTACGGATTGCAATGAATCTGTAGATTGCTTTAGGTACTATTGATATGTTAACAGCATTGATTCTTCCAATCCATGAAAATGGAATATTTTTCCATTTTTGGGGGGTGTCCTCTTTAATTTCTTTCTCTAGTGTTTTATAATTTTCATTATAGAGATCTTTCACTTCTTTGGTTAATTCCTACATATTTAATTTTGTGTATGGCTATTGTAAATGGGATTACTTTTTAATTTATTTTTCACATTGTTTATTGCTGACATATAGAAATGCTACTGATTTAAAATTTTTTTAATTTTTAATTTTTTAATTTCAATAGGTTTTGGGAGAACAGGTGGTGTTTGGTTACATGAATAAATTCTTCAGTGATGATTTCTGAGACTTTGGTGCATCCATCACCCGAGCAGTGTACACTGTACCCAATGTGTAGTGTTTTATTCCTCACCACCCCCCACCCTTCCCCCGAGTCCTCAAAGTCCAATGTATCATTCTTATGCCTTTGCATCCTCATAGCTTAGCTCCCACATATGAATGAGAACATATGATGTTTGGTTTTTCATTCATGATTTACTTTACTTAGAATAATAGTCTTTGATTCCATTCTGGTTGCTGTGAATGCCATTATTTAATTCCTTTTTATGGCTGAGTAGTATTCCATGGCATGTATATACCACATTTTCTTTATCTCCTCGTTGATTGATGGGCATTTTGGGTTGGTTCCATATTTTTGCAATTGCAAATCATGCTGCTATAAACATGAATGTGCGAGTATCTTTTTTGTATTATGACTTTTTCTCTGGGTAGATACCTAGTAGTGGGATTGCTGAATCAAGCAGTAGATCTACTTTTACTTCTTTAAGGAATCTTCACACTATTTTTCATAGCAGTTGTACTAGTTTACATTCCCACCAACAGTGTAAACATGTTCCCTTTTTACACCATCCATGCCAACATCTATTTTTTTTGATTTTTTTGATTATGGCCATTCTTACAGAAGTGAGGTGGTATCGCATTGTGGTTTCGATCTGCATTTCTCTCATCATTGTGATGTTGAGCACTTTCCATATGCTTGTCAGTCATTTGCATATCTTCTTTTGAGAATTGTCTATTCATGTCCTTAGCCCACTTTTTGATGGGATTGTTTTTTTTCTTGCTGATTTGTTTGAGTTCCTTATAGATTCTGGATATTGGTCCTTTGTCAGATATATAGTTTGTGAAGATTTTCTCCCACTCCGGGTTGTCTGTTTACTCTGCTGATTATTTCTTTTGCTCTGCAGAAGCTTTTTAGTTTAATTAAGTCCTATCTATTTACCTTTGTTTTTGTTGTTTTTGCTTTTGGGCTCTTGGTCTTGAAGTCTTTGCCTGAGCCAATGTCTAGAAGGTTTTTTCTGATGTTATCTTCTAGAATATTTATAGTTTTTAGGTCTTAAATTTAAGGCTTTGATCTATCTTGAGTTGATTTTTGTATAAGGTGAGAGAAGAGGATCCAGTTTCATTTCTTCTACCTGTGGCTTGCTAAGTATACCAGCACCATTTATTGAATAGGGTGTCTTTTCCCCACTTTATATTTTTGTTTGTTTTGTTGAAGATCAGTTGGTGATAAGTTTTTGGCTTTATTTCTGGGTTCTTTATTCTGTTCCATTGGCTTATGTGCCTATTTTTATACCAGGACCATACTGTTTTGGTGACTATGGCCTTATAGTATAGTGTGAAGTTGGATAATGTGATGCTTCCAGATTTGTTCTTTTCACTTAGTCTTGCTTTGGCTATGCAAGCCTTTTTGTTTCCATATGAATTTTAGGATTGTTTTTTCTTGTTTTGTGAAGAAGGATGCTAGTGTTTTTATGGGAATTGCATTGAATTTGAAGATTGTTTTTGGCACTATGGTCATTTTCACAATATTGATTCTGCCCATCCATGAGGATGGGATGTGTTTTCCATCCCACTGGAAGCACTTGTTTGTGTTATCTATGATTTATTTCAGCAGTGTTTTGTAGTTTTCCTTGTAGAGGTCTTTCATGTCCTTGGCTAGGTATGTTCCTAAGTATTTTATTTTTTTTGAATCTATTGTGAAAGGGGTTGAGTTCCTGATTTCTCAGTTTGGTCGCTGTTAGTGTATAGCAGAGCTACTGATTTGTGTACATTAATTTTGTATCCTGAAACTTTGCTAAACTCGTTTACCAGTTCTAGAAGTTTTTTGGATGGCCGTTTAGGGTTTTCTAGGTTATACGATTATATCATCAGCAAACAGTCACAGTTTGACTTCCTCTTTACCGATCTGGATGCCATTTATTTCTTTCTCTTGTCTGATTGCTGTGGCTAGGACTTCCTGTACTATGTTGAATAGAAGTGGTGAAAGAGGTCATCCTTGTAGTGTTCTAGTTCTCAGGGGGAATGCTTTGCAACTTTTCCCTGTTCAGTATAATGTGGGCTGTGAGTTTGTCATAAATGGCTTTTATTACCTTAAGGTGTGTTCCTTCTATACTGATTTTGCTGAGGGTTTTAATTATAAAAGGATGCTGGATTTTGTCAAATCCTTCTTCTACACTGATTAGATGATCATGTGACTTTTGCTTCTAATTCTGTTTGTGTGGTGTACTATATTTATTGACTTGCATATGTTAAACAATCTCTGAATCCCTGGTATAAAACCCACTTGATCATGGTGAATTACCTTTTTGATATGCTGTTGGATTCAGTTTGCTAGTATTTTGTTGAGGATTTTTGCATCTATATTCCTCAGGGATATTGGCCTGTAGTTTTCTTTTTTTGTTATATCCTTTCCTGGTTTTGATATTAAGGTGATACTGGCTTCATAGAATGAGTTAAGGAGGATTCCCTCTTTCTCTATCTTGTGGAATATTGTCAATAGAATTGGTACCAATTTTTCTTTGAAAGCCTGATAGAATTCAGCTGTGAATCTCTCTGGTCCTGGACTTTTTTTTCTCAAGCAGGAGTTTTGCCCCATAGCCACCACAGCTTTATCCGTAATGTGGTAAGTCCCACCTGAAGTCAGCAAGTCTCAGAGGCTCCCCCCAGGCCCTTGATGTAGTACCTGCTTATCACTGCTGATAATTCAGGGCCCAAGGGCTTCTCAGTTAGCAGGTGATAAATGTTGCCAGGACTGCATCCTTCCCTTCAAAGCAGTGGGTTCCCTTCTGGCCAAGGGTGTGTCTAGAAATGTCTGGAAGCTAGGACCTGGAATTGGGGGACTAACAACTCTGACCAATGCCCTCTCCTGCTGTGGTTGAACTGGTATTCAAGATGAAGACAAAGTCCTCCCCACTCTCCTTTCTCCTCTCCTCAAGCAGAAGAAAGAGCTCTCTTTTGGAGCCACAAGCTATGCAACCTGGGTTTAGGGGTTGGGTAATGCCAGCACTTCCTTAGCTGCATGGCTTGTATCTTAGTAGGTCATGTGTTCCCCCAGTTCACTGTCTCTGGGACCAGTTCAGCACTAGGACTCATCTAAGAGTTTCAGTCCTTATGGCCTAGACTGCCTTTCAAGTTTACTTAGAGACTCAGAACACTTTAGCCCTCTGTGGTGAGGTTCGCGGGAACTCAAGTTCCGACTGCTGGGATTGGTGATTCCCTTCTGGCTAGGGATAGTTTAAACATTCTCTCTGTGGATGGGCATCAGCTGAATTTGGCCTGATTTTTCTTTCTTCTCTAACAAGATTTTGTTAGTGAACTTTCCTTTTCCCGGGCATTCTTTGTTTGTACCTACCACTTCCAACCTGCCCAGTCCCAAGGCTATCATAGGAACTATTGATTTCTTCTGTGAACATACCACCACTCTGCAGTTGTTGGTCCCAGGGATAAGAATGGCCCAAGAGATTCAAAGTGATTTTTTCTTCCAAAATGTTCAAACTAAAACAGAGTCAGTTTCTGATTTACCCAGAGTTATAACAATGAAGACTTGCTAATGACCACCATTTTCTCCTCGTTTTTAAGAACACTTCTGCAATGAGAGAATAATGTAGAAGAGCCTATAGATGCAGAGGTCAGGTAACTTGGCCCATTCTTGGCTCAGTTATTTATGTGGCCCAATTACGTATCTGTTGGAATTTTAAATATAGTCTACTTTTGAATAATCGGAGCTATATAAAAGCATAAGTAAATGATTATATTTCTTTTTCAATAACTCAGATCAGCTCTGTTCTGTAAAGTCTTCCCTTCCCATACCATTACAACATCTTTTGCCTTTTTCTCCTATGATAAATTAAGCTCAATGAAAACCTCAATTTCATATCAAATTTAATGTTCCCCTCCTTTACTACTGCCTGCCCTGGGTACAAATGATTGGACAAAAAGAAGGCTCAACCTACTCTATAAATACTTTATCTTCTGCTTTCTTTACTGCCTTGGTGTGTTAAGGTAGAGAAAAAGGATAAAAAGAGAGGAAGGATGAGTGTCAACCTGGCACAGTTGCATCCATTTCTATAAGGTAGAGAAAAAGGATAAAAAGAGAGGAAGGATGAGTGTCAACCTGGCACAGTTGTCATCCATTTCCAGTAGCTTTGATCAAGTAAGTTTTTACTGTACACTCTAAATGTTGCTCAGATTTGCTTGGGTCTTTAGGGCTCACTAAAGGCCTAGAGATGCCAATGTGTAGTTTTGATGAGGCAATCTATATAAGGCTTTACTGGCTCCACCCAGATGTTACTTTTGATACCCTTCCTCAGTCTCTTAACTTGGTTGTTGATCATTGAGCCTCTTATTTCTTGGGGACCCCTACACAGATAATTAGTAACCTGCACATATAAAGCATTGCTAGTTGCTATACTTCAGAAATAACTCAATCCGGGTATTGGTAGGAAATCACCTGCCAAATGTTGGGGTTGTATGGCTCTTCCACTCTACTCTTTTTGCTTCTTGGACTTCTCAAATTTTTTTTCTCCGTACTAAAGATGTATATGTGGAAGATACAGCAGCCTACTACATAAGCAGATAGCTACTTGGAAGTGAGATGCCAGTCTCCAGTGTAGGTATCCTTGGTGTCTAACTCTTCATTTAAGGCACCTTACTTTGGCTTCACAAAGAAGAGGAGTATTTCAGTAGACTCCTCACCCACCAGGCCAGGAATGCAAAACAGAATTTCATGATATTCTGTAGACTATAGGGTGACATGTTTAAAGATACCAGATCTGGTTCAGCAAATCTAAAAGTTTCTGGCATTTGCTACTACTTTGATTTTAGCTCTGGGTCACAATCACTAATTCTGGGGTAATGGAAAGTTCTAACTGACATTCCGTTAGAAACTTTTGCTTATCCTTCTGCAAAATAGCAAATTTCCGTTTCAACATAAAATGACTTGATTTGGTGTTCTATCTTTTAAAACCCAAAGAGAGATGTCTAGTTTATTTCTATTCTCATATTCCCTGCCATTACAAAAATAACAGTAATGTATATACCAGCCTCAAATCCCTGCATATGTTTTTCTCCCTGTTTTTCAGAAAGCCTTCCTCATTTGAACAAAATGTAATACAGAATAATACTGATAAATCTAAGAAAATAGTCCAAACTCAGTATTATCAAGCAGGAAATTGGGGTATCGAGGAATGTTACTTAGGTACGTACTTTGACTTAGTACTCTAAATGTTTTCCAGTATATTAATGGAAAAAAGGTAAGGGTTCAAGGTGACATACACCATACATTCTACAACATGTGCCATATAATTCCAGTTTAGGATCATTGTTACCATGCATTTGTGGTGATTAGGGATATATTCTGTCATAGTGTTTCTCATTTACTATTTTGAATAAAATGTGGCCAATTTGCAAGAAACAATAGCTATTCATGTTATGAATCCCAATCAACCAAAGAATGAAAATTTGACTACAACATGAATATAGAATGGGACTGGAAATTTCCAGGAATTACCATGAAGACAGTAATTGATATGCATGTTAACTCTTGTGTTTTGATCTGCAGGGACAAAATGCCTACAAGAGAAGACCCTTCTTGAATGGAAAGTTGAGTCCTAAGACCTATTCATATAGTCTATAGTTCTTGAACTTTAGCATCCTAGAAGATACAGATCTATACACTATTATTTCAGGGATCTATTAACCATCTTAAATTGAAATTTGAGATGCTATTATTTAAATTTTATAAATATTTGTTAATAATAGCTATACATAAGTATTGCATTGACTATACTTGGATCATTACAATATTGTAGTCAATTCTGCAGTTTAAAATTGGGTTTATTATAATATTGTAGTAAATTATGCAGTTTAAAATCAATGCCCTCTTTCTCAATCCCTGTATTCCTCCCTAGTTGAGCCACAGTGAAATATCTAAGGTTTTTATGTAAAAGCTTCTAATCAGTACTACTACCTGTTTGTTTTTCTTCCTTACAGGAGCAGCTTTTTCTTTTGTTGGACTATATAATTTTTATTCCCTGAACTAAGCAAAGGAATTAAGCTTTGAATTCTGGTGGTTAAGGCAACCTTTGTAACCTTGGTCCTCTGATTACCTGAGGATTTTGCACTACCTTTCAGAAGCTGCACTAATGCTGATGGATGCTATCTTTTGCTGTTTTAATAATGTTGTTTTAAAAATGAATTTGCTCTATTTTACATGCTTATGAACTCTTTGGATGGGGTAAAAAGGAGCTTCCCCAGACTTTTAAATTTGTAGGGAAGGCTACTTTTAAAAATAAAGTTTTGAATATTTGAATAGTTATTTCTCTTCTGTGAAGAAAGCTGAAATCCTTACAGGGTATTTTTCTAGGCACCTGTATTTTGTGAAGGGTAAAGGTGTACTCGTTAACCAACAATCTGGGTGGGGAGACTCGGTAACTATTATACTGTGGTATATAGTTTTTTGATTAATTGCCATTTCACTTCTTTCTAATGATATGTATAAAAGTAGATAAAATCAGATTCTCTCTGTAAGGTTGAAAACATTAGACTATTCTATTTCCTACTTCTGGCTTTTCTGTAGTTTTCTTTTGTTCCTTTTTGTATCACTTTTCTTTTCTATATAGTAGTAATTTCAAGTGAGTTTGAAAATTTGGGTTCATTCACTTTGTGCATATGAAGGAGCTATTTTTGGGGAAAATAATATTCTAATTGATGTCACAATTTATGACAACTTTGAACCAAAAATGAATCTTGTCTAACTTCTTGTTCATATATCTCAAAATATTTAAAGTGATGGATTAAGTGGTAAAGTTTGAAAAATCTTGTAAAAAAATCACATGCTTTCAGGTGTTCTCTTGAACCTACATACTTATTTTTCTCTGGATGTGGAATCAGTTGGCAAAAGTAAGAAGGAAATCATAATTACAGTGTGTTCTTTATTCCTTATACAACGACTGAAGGGAAAGTAACCTCTAGAATAAAATCAGGCTCTTTTTGGAAAGCCTGCCCTTTTGTGGACTAAATCAATCCCAGGATGGGACACCTGTCTCATAGTTTTCATACTGCGTGAGACCTGGAAGCCAGGAAGATTCCAAGGTGGAGGGGGAAGCAAAACACCAGCTAAGTGTCGAGTGACTTTTTTTCCACCTTGCAAATAGGATAAAGATTGAATTCTCTCATGAGAAAGTAGATGAAAGTTACAGTCCAGAAATATATCTCAAGTGTGGCTCCCTCTTGGGTAATAGAGTAAATAAATACATTCCCCTAGTGCTAGTCATTCAGCTCTACTTTCCTGCCTCTATTTTTTGTTTATTTTCTACTTCACCCCCTCTCCCTTTCTAACAAAATACTGACTAGAGGATTCATTGACATACTGTGGAATATCTCTAACCCTGAATATAAGAACACGGTTTTTAATCTCAATTTATATGAAATTATTTTTTATTTTCCTTCTCTGGGGATTAAATCACTAGAACATCATAAGTGATTCATTTCTACCAGATTGAGGACAATTTATTTTAGCTGTTTGAGTTTCAGTAATTCTTTCTGTAAATGAATGTCCTATATTTTAAAAGTTACATATTCCCTACTCGTCTTTCAACCCAAATATTCCTGAGTTAGATCTAGCTTGCTGAAATTCTAGAAAGCCAAAAATTGAACACTTAAAAATTTTAAATAAAATCAAAAGCAAAAAGAAAATGTCCTATTAGTTTTAGGCACATTAGGCCATCTCTGAAAGACACAGCACCTCCCAAAGCTCATAGACCAAAGGATGATGCTAAAAATCACATGGGGAATAAAATCAATTTAAAACTTGTAGTAAGAGGCCAGGAAAAATAAGTAGGCACTGGTGGAAGATAACACACTTAGGGTAGGGGGCAAGCAGGATGGAAGGACCACACTTGCAGCATCCTGGGGTGTATACTGTACATATATCTTGTATCTTTCCCTACTGTATCATCCTTCTCTATTGATTAATTATGAGGTTACAAGGACCAGCATTGAGGATTGAGCAAGGCCACAAACAGAAGGTACTCAGAGTCAACAGCACACGTTTGCTCTATCAGAGAAATGCAGTGGTAAGTGTTACTGGAGTTAGCTATGACATAATTCCAAGAGATGTGTGTGTGTGTGTGTGTGTTTGAGGGGGTTGTAGTGGAACACATGGGGCCAGGATGGGACCAAACTAGATGTTACTAATTGGTGGGCAATTTGGGGTTACAGAGTTGTCTGGTCAATGATGACATGATGGAAAAATATTTTTCCCCATATTTCCCCTAATGTTTTTGTATATTTCATCCTGTTTTCTATTTATTTATCCTTCTGGTTAGTATTTCACTCACCTATATTCAATGCATCTTATTCTGCCTGTTTCACTGGCTTCTTACTTGCTTATGTCACTTCTAATGAGTTTTGACCACTTTGTTTTCTGCTTTTAGAGATAAATATTCTCAAATCACACAGTAAATCTACACTATAAAAGGTTATTAACTTGTACAGGCTTATCTGTAAACTTGGATGCTAAAGGTCTACAGAATAATAGCAATTGTGATCAAATTTATTTTAATCTTTCCCCCCATATTCAGGCTAACTAGATTTCATTTGTGAGAAGAAAAAGACTTAAATGTATAGTCTTAAAGTATTATTCATCTTAGATATCCTGATGGTATAAAGATATCAAAAAATCAAATAAGGATTACAATAAATAATACAGATCCCCTTCTAAAGAATTATTAGACTATGTGCTCCAAAAGAAAAAATGTAAATGCAAATAAAGTTAGAGAGCTAAGATATTGGCAAAATTCATTCTTTGGCATAAATTTAGTACTGGAATGTAAAATCTGAAAATCCCAAATTATCATAAAATGTTGGAAAAATGTGATAAGTTCCCCGCACAAGAATACAGATTGTGTATTAGCTTTGTTTTTCTCACAACGAATTTCCACAAATTTATTGGCTTCAAACAACATTCGTTTATTGCCTCATAGTTTTCTGGGGTTGGAGTCCAGGCACCAAGTGGCTCATTTAGATTCTCTGGAGTCTCACAAGAGTGAATCAAGTTGTCAGCAGGGCTCTTGGGTAATTTAAGTTGGCAGAATTCAGTTCCTTGTAATTGGAGAACTGAAATTCCTATTTTCTTGCTGGTCATCGGCTGGGGGTAGTTCTCAGCTTTTAGAGAACTCACATGTCTTCCTATATGGATCCTTCTAAAGCAGCAATGACAGGACGAGTTTCTCACACACTTCGATTTCTCTGACAGATCCTTTTCTGAGGCAGTCTCCCTGGCTGGAAGCAGTCCTTACTGTTAAGGACTCACTCAATTAAATTGGGTTTCTCAGACAATCTGGGATAATCTCTCTATTTTAAAGCCCTTAATCTTAATTATACCTGCAAAGTACCTAGATTAATGCTTCCTTGAATAAGTCAGGGATAGGAATCTGGAGGAAATAGCTTTAGAATTCTGCCTACCACATACTAATTAACTCCAGATGATCATAGAAAAATGGAGGATTCTCCATTTTGAAAATTCAAAGATGTACAGAGAAGATTTAAAAATAGCAGGCCTGAGACTGCTACTCTTGGGCCTGCTTGCAAGGTTGGCTCTTGGCTACCATGTGGTAATTTGGATTTGGGGAGGGTCCCCTGAACCCTAACTAATAAGAGTAGCTCAGTGTGCCTAAAACCGTACAAACAATATGTTGTATACCTGCTTTCCTTTTGGGAATCTGCGTTGTGGGTACATGCCAGGAACAGAAGGCTTACCTGACCAGCCCCTAATAATAAAACAGACCCTGGATAGTGAGTCTCTAATGACCTTCCTGGATAGACAATACTTCACATGTTGTCACAAATAAGTGTAGGAGGAATTAAGCCCATCCTGTGTGTCTTCACTGGGAGAGGAATTTTGGAAGCTTGCACCTGGTTTCCTTTGGACATCATTCCATGGACCTTTTCCCTTTGCTGATTTTGCTCTGTATCCTTTTTCTGTGATAAATCATAGTGGGATATGACTACATGCTGAGTCCTGTGAGTCCCCGTAGGAAACTGCCAGTGATCTTGAAGACTCCCGCCCTCTTAAAAAGTATATATAAAACTTTCAAAGAAATATATAGGGGACTCACAAGTTGCCAGAGAATTAACCATGTAGAAACAAGGCAAATCTAATAAAACTCAGGTGTAAGAAGAAAAATTATAATAAATAACATAATGTAGCAGGAATAATCCAAAATTATCACTTATCTTAAAATATGTAAATAGTTTACATAATCCCTATAAGAATTTTATAATTAGACTTTTTATAAATGTTATATAATTTTAGGCCAATATATTTGAAAATGAAGATGAATAATACTTTAGGAAAGTATTACAATATAGATTCAAGATACAGAAAGTCTGAAGAGAGAATTAGAGACCAATTTAGAAGTCGTCACATATTTACAAATAATATATTTGTTAACATATGTTATAAACCAATTTCACTAATTGTAAACAAAGATATCTGCATTTCATAAGTAATCTCATAGTCTTAAAAAAATAAGGACAGATAATTCTCTCCAATTTATGATAACTGGCCAGGGCAATACAGGCACCTAAATTGTTGACCTATATATAAATATATGTATACAAAAATATAGGAAGAGATTCAGAAATATATAATTAGAAAACTAAATGCAGTATCTTTAAAAATAATCAGGAAAGAATTCAAAGTAATATTAACAGGCATTCTATTAAGGTACTTCAGTATAGTAACAGATTCAAGTGAGAAAAAGAATTTTTCATTGCGAGGACATGCTCCAAGTAATTAACCCCTTTAATCATGTGAATTAACACTTCAATCCACACAGCCAGCAACCCCTCTATAGTATATTGACTATTTTTTTCTGTACAAAGGAAATAACTGCAGCAAATAGAGGTTAAATAACATGTCCTAGATGATACCACTGCTAGGCATAGCTTCAGAACTTTTGCTTTTAACAACTATGTTTTACTGCTTCTCCATATTAGAGAAATCTTAGTAGTAAACATGTAAAAGTAAAATAAAATTTGTAGTAATTATTCACCTAATTATAAGAACATAAACTAAAACTGTATTAATGTATAGTTTTACCAGAATAGAAATGGTGATGCTGAAACAGGTTTTAGAAATTGACCTATACATAGGTGTATGATTAATTTATGATGAAAGAAAGTGTGGATTAGTTCATAAGGCATGTGGACTACACTTTTAGGTACATTTCTACACTCTGCACAAAAATTATGACTTTAAGAGGTAAAAATATTTTGAAAATCAGAATATTTATAAAATAAATGACATAAATTATATATAGTATATATTTACAACATAAATATTTATAACATTATAAAGTAAACTGGTATAGATGATATTTTCCAAGCAAGAGTCAATATCCAGGAATCATTAAGAAAATATATCTTTATAGTTTTATAACAAAAATTTTGAAGATAAATGACAGAAAACTATCACTAAGTATAATTTTAAAAGCTTAATATCCAGATTATAAAAATTATACCTATATAAAAGAATAAACATTTAATATAAAAATAATAAAATGATATAAATGATCCACATAGGTGAGTAGTAACCATTTAAAAAACTCAGTCTTGTTAGAAATCAAACAACTCAATAACAAGAAAAATAACCAGTCAAAAAATGGGGAAAAGACCTGAATAGACATTTCTCAAAAGAAAACATACAAATGGCCAAAAGGAATATGAAAAAAATAACATTACTAAACATCAGAGAAATGCACATTAAAATCACAATGAGATGTTAGAATGGCTATTATAAAAAAGATGAAAATTCACAAATCCTGGCAAGAATGTGGAGAAAAGGGAACCCTTACATTCCTATTGGTTGGAATATAAGTTAGGACAGCCATTATAAAAAACACTATGGAGGTTCCCCAAAAAACTAAAAACTGAATTACCATGTGATTCAGCCATCCATTTCTGGGTATATATGTAAAGGAATTGAAATCAGTATGGTGAGGAGATATCTGCATTCTCATATTCAGTGCAGCAGCATTTACAATGTCCAAGATATGGAATCGACCCAAGTGTCCATCAATGGATGAATGGATAAAGAAAAATGTGGTACACATGTGCAATGGAATGTTATTCAGCCTTATCAAAGAGGGAAATTCTGTCATTGGTGACAACATGGATGAACCTGGATAACATCCTAAGTGAAATAAGCCAGGCACAAAAAGGCAAATACTGTATGATCTCACTTACATGTGATATCTAAAAAAGTCACTCATACAAGTGGAAAATCGAATGGTCATTACCAGAAGCTGGAGAGTGGATGGGAGGGAGAGATGGAGAGATGTCATTCAGTTAGGAAGAATAAGGATTTGAAATCTATTGCACAGCATAGTGACTATAGTTAAATAATAATGTATATTTTGGGCTGTTCTTGGAGATCATGGCAGACAGGAGTCAGGGCTAGATTGCAGCTCCAACTCACACAGACAGAGCAGTGTGCCGAGGCTTGCATTGTGAATTTTAGTTCCAAATCAACTGCAAGAACAAACCAGCAATCCCAAGAGGACCCACAGGCCCTCTGAAGGAAGTGGACTGCTCCTGCAGGACACAGGAGACACCCCAAATACTGTGAGTGCTCCAACTGCAGAAGTGGGAGAGGGAAATCTTCCTCTCTTGAACACACACCCCTGGAGAAACTGAAGGTCTGTTTGCAGGAGAAGTTTCTGACCTTACCTGGAGCTGAGTCAGTTTAGAGAGCCAAGCAAAATATAGGGGTAGAGGAAGCAGTAGGAAATGCTTTGGGACCTCGCTGGGTCCCCAAGCAGGCCATTCCTGCCTGGCACCACAGGTATCCATCAGGATGGAAGACAGAGAAGCTGGGGAAAACACCACAGGGAGAAGGAAGTCTCCAGCTGAATTTTGTAACAATTTGAACCAGGCAAGAAGCCTCCTGGCCAGAATTCGGGAAAGGGTGCGAATCTGATGTGCAGACTCCACAGGAGGGGGAAGAACCAAGCTCTTTTCTTTCACAGCTGGGAGGTGGGTAGCCTGGGGCAAGTTCTGAAGCCCAACTTGCCCACCACCTGGAAAAAGGCTCAAGGCTGTTAATGGGGGCATGATAGGAGTGAGATCAGCTCTTCGGTTTGTGTGGGAGTTGGGTGAAACCTGTGACTGCCATCTTTTCCCTACTTCCCTGACAACCTGCATGACTCAGCAGAGGCAGCCATAATCCTCCTAGATACACAACTCCATTGACGTGGGAACCTTACTCCCATCCCCTACAGCAGCTGTAGCAAGACCTGCCCAAGGAGAGTCTGAGCTCAGACTTGGGTGATGGGTGCACCACAATTTCACAAATCATTATATGAAATTTCACAATAATTTATGAAAAAAATGTATATTTCAAAATTGTCAAGAGTAAATTTCAAGTGCTCTTGCCACAAAAATAAGTATGTGAGGTGATGCATGTGTTAATTAACTTGATCTAATTATTTCATAATGTATACCTGTATTAAAATATTACATCGTACCCTATAAATATATAAATATTATTTGTTAATTAGACATTTTTTAAAAGCTATGAAACTATTTTAAAAAGTAGGACTAGTTTGTTTAACAGAATATCAAAATTTGATAACATAGACAATAACCAATGTTTATAAATTGAATTTAGATTTTCAAAGTGAAAACAGATCACACATTTATTTGAAGGCACATAGGATATAGCTACCAAAATGTAAATATTTGGCCCTTTTCCTAAGCTTCTTCTAATTCTATAAATAAATTTTAAGAAAAATTTTAAAAAATGCAAAAGAGAGTTAAAGTTTCTGGTAATGGCAGGCTGGGGTTTATAGATGAGCATGTGAGCTGAAAAACATGGATAATGTTAGAATAAACATTTTTTTCCTAACACAAAGAAATAATACACATTTAAGACGATGGATGTCTTAATTACCCCGATTTGATCATTACACATTGTATGATTGTATCAAAATATCACCTGTATCCAATAAAGATGTACAGCTATTATGTATTCATAATAATTAAAAATAAAAGAATTTTAAAAGATTATAGAAGCTGAAAAATTCCCATTGCCTAGTGAAGCATAGCTGTCATAACGTTGTAGCACAATGCATTACTCACATGTTTGTGGTGATGCCGTTGCAAATAAACCTGTGCCGCCAGTTATATAAAAGTATAGAAATACAGTTATATACTGTATATAATACTTGAAAATGATAACAAATGACTATGTTACTGGCTTGTGTATTTACTTTTTATAATTGTTTTAGAGTGTATTCCTTCTATTTATTAAAAATAAGGTGAACTAAAACAGCCTCAGACAGCTTCTTCCGCAGGTATTCCAGAAGAAGACATTGTTATCACAGGAGATGACAACTCCTTGTGTGTTATTGCCCACGAAGACCTTCCAGTGGGACAATATGTGGAGAGGGAAGACGGTGAGATTGAGGATCCTGACCCTGCATAGGCCTAGACTAGTGCGTATATTTGTTTCTTACTGTTTAAGAAAAAAGTTTAAAGAGTAAAAAATGAAAAGTTTTAAATATAGAAAAAAGCTTATAGAATAAGGATAGAAAGAGTTTTTGTACAGCTGTACAGTGTATGTGTTTTAAGCTAAGCTAGCTGTTATTACAAAATGGTCAAAAAGTAAAAAAAAATAATTTTATAAAGTAATAAAGTTAAGCTAAGGTTAATTATTGAAGAAAAAATTTTAAAATGAATTTACAGTAGCCTAAGTGTAAGTGTTGAGTCTCCAGTAGCTTACAGTAATGTCCTAGGCATTCACGTTCACTCATCACTCACTCACTGACTCACCCAGAGCAACATCCAGTCTTGCAAGATTCATTCATAGTAAGTGCCTTATACAGGGGTACCATTTTTTTAAAATTTTACTTTAAGTTCTGGGATACATGTGCTGAATGTACAGGTTTGTTATATAGGTATACATGTGCCATGGTGGTTTGCCATACCCATCAAGCCATCATCTAGGTTTTAAGCCCTGCATGCATTAGGTATTTGTCCTAATGCTCTCCCTCCCCTTGTCCTCCACCCTCCAGCAGGCCCCAGTATGTGATGTTCCCCTCCCTGTGTCCATGTGTTATCATTGTTTAACTCCTACTTTTGAGTGAGAACATGCGGTGTTTGGTTTTCTGTTCCTGTGTTAGTTTGCTGAGAATGATGGTATCCAGCTTCATTCATGTATCTGCAAAGGACATGAACTCATTCTTTTTATGGCTTCATAGTATTCCATGGTGTATAAGTGCCACATTTTATTTATCCAGTCTATCATTGATGGGAATTTGGGTTGGTTCCAAGGCTTTGCTATTGTGAATAGTGCCGCAATAAACATACGTGTGCATGTGTCTTTATAGTAGAATGATTTATAGTCCTTTGGGTATATACCCAGGTATGGGATTGTTGGGTCAAATAGCATTACTGGTTCTAGAGCCTTGAGGAATCCCCGCACTGTCTTCCACAACGGTTGAACTGATTTACACTCCCACCAAGAGTGTAAAAGCATTCCTATTTCTCCACATCCTCTCCAGCATCTGTTGTTTCCTGAGTTTTTAATGATCGCCATTCTAACTGGCGTGAGATGGTATCTCATTGTGGTTTTGATTTCCACTTATCTAATGATCAGTGATGATGAGTCTTTTTTCATGTTTGTTGGAGCATAAATATCTTCTTTTGAGAAGTGTCTGTTCATATCTTTTGCTAACTTTTAGATAGGGTTGTTTTTTATTTGTACATTTGTTTAAGTTCCTTGTAGATTCTTGATAGTAGAGGATAGATTGCAAAAATTTTCTCCCATTCTGTAGGTTGTCTGTTCACTCTTATGGTAGTTTCTTTTGCTGAGGCCTAGCTCTTTAATTTAATTAGATCCCATTTGTCAATTTTGGCTTTTGTTGCAATTGCTTTTGTTGTTTTAGTCATGAAGTCTTTGCCCATGCCTATGTCCTAAATGGTATTGCCTAGGTTTTCTTCTAGCGTTTTTAAGATTTTACGTTTTATGTTTAAGTCTTTAATCCACCTTGAGTTAATTTGTGTATCAGGTGTAAGGAAGGAGTTCAGTTTCAGTTTTCCCAGCACTATTTATTAAAAAGGAAATCCTTTCCCCATTATTTGTTTTTGTCAGGTTTGTAGTAGATCAGATGGTTGTAGATGTGTGGTGTTATTTCTGAGGCCTCTGTTCTGTTCCATTGGTCTATATATCTGTTTTGGTACCAGTACCATGCAGTTTTGGTTAGCCTTACAGTATAGTTTGAAGTCAGGTAGTGTGATTGCTCCAGGTTTGTTCTTTTTGCTTAGGATTTTCCTGGCTATACAGGCTTTTTTTGTTTGTTTGTTTCATATGAAGTTTAAAGTAGTTTTTTCTAATTCAGTGAAGAAAGCCAATGTTAGCTTAATGAGAATAGCATTGAATCTATAAATTACTTTGGGCAGTATGGCCATTTTCATGATATTCTTTCTATCCATGAGCATGGAATTTTTTTTTCATTTGTTTGTGTCCTCTCTTATTTCCTTGAGCAGTGGTTTGTAGTTCTCATTGAAGAGGTCCTTCACATCCCTTTTAAGTTGTATACCTAGATATTTTATTCTCTTTGTCACAATTGTGAAAGGGAGTTCACTCATGATTTGACTCCATTATTGGTGTATTCGAATGCTTGTGATTTTTGCACATTGATTTTGTATCCTGAGACTTTGCTGAAGTTGCTTATCAGCTTAAGGAGTTTTGGGGCTGAGACTGTGGGGTTTTCTAAATATACAATAATGTCATCTGCAAACAGAGACAATTTGACTTCCTCTCTTCCTATTTGAATACCCTTTATTTCTTTCTCTTACCTGATTGCCCTCACCAGAGCTTCCAATACTATGTTGAATAGGAGTGGTGAGAGAGGACATCCTTGTCTTGTGCTGATTTTCAAAGGCAATGCTTCCAGCTTTTGCCCATTCAGTATGATATTGGCCTTGGGTTTGTCGTAAATAGCTCTTATTATTTTAAGATATGTTCCATCAATTCCAGCAATCTACAAATTCAATGCAGTCACCTAGCTTACTGAGAGTTTTTAGCATGAGGGGCCATTGAATTTTATCAAAGGCCTTTTCTGCATCTATTGAGATAATCACGTGGTTTTTGTCATTGGTTCTGTTTATGTGATGGATTATGTTTATTGATTTGTGAATGTTGAACCAGCCTTGCATCCCAGGGGTGAAGCCGACTTGATTGTGGTGAATAGCTTTTTGATGTGCTGCTGGATTTGGTTTGCCAGTATTTTATTGAGGATTTTCACATCGATGTTCATCAGGGATATTGGTCTAAAATTCTTTTTTTTGTTGTGTCTCTGCCAGGTTTTGGTATCAGGATGATGCTGGCCTCATAAAATGAGTTAGGGAGCAGTCCCTCTTTTTCTATTGTTTGGAATAGTTTCAGAAGTAATGGTACCAGCTCTTCTTTGTACCTCTGGTAGAATTTGGCTGTGAATCCATTTGATCCTGGGCTTTTTTATGGATAGTAGGCTATTAATTACTGCCTCAATTTCAGAACTTGCTATCGGTCTATTCAGGGATTCGACTTCTTCATGGTTTAGTCTTGGGAGGGTGTATGTGTCCAGGAATTTGTCCATTTCTTCTAGATTTTCTAGTTTATTTGCATAGAGGTGTTTATAGTATTCTCTGATGGTAGTTTGTATTTTTGTGAGACCAGTGGTGATATCCCCTGTATTATTTTTTATTGTGTCTATTTGATTTTTCTCTTTGTTCTTTATTAGTCTGGCTAGTGGTCTGTGTATTTTGTTAATCTTTTCAAAAAACAAGCTCCTGGATTCACTGATTTTTATTGAAGGGTTTTTCATATCTCTAACTCCTTCAGTTCTGCTCTCATCTTACTTATTTCTTGTCTTCTGCTAGCTTTTGAATTTGCTTACTCTTGCTTCTCTAGTTCTTTTAATTGTGATGTTAGGGTGTTGATTTTAGATCTTTCCCACTTTCTGATGGGAGCATTTAGTGCTATAAATTTTTCTCTTAATATTGCTTTAGTTGTGTCCCAGAGATTCTGGTACGTTGTGTCTTTGTTCTCATTGGTTTCAAAAAACTCTTTTATTTCTCCCTTAGTTTTCTTATTTACTCAGTAGTCATTGAGGAGCAGGTTGTTCAGTTTTTGTGTGGTTGTGTGGTTTTGAGTGAGTTTCTTAATCCTGAGTTCTAATTTGATTGCACTGTGGTCTGAGAGACTGTTATCATTTCTGTTCTTTTGCATTTGCTGAGAAGTGTTTTGCTTCCAATTATGTGGTTGATTTTAGAATAAGTGCTATGTGGTGCTGAGAAGAATGTATATTCTGTTGATTTGGGGTGGAGAGTTCTGTAGATGTCTCTTAGGTTCACTTGGTCTAGAGCTGGGTTCATCTGTTTTGTTGATCTGTGTAATATTGACAGTGGGGGTGTTAAAGTCTCCCACTTTTATTGTGTGGGAGTCTAATTCTCTTTTCAGGTCTCTAAGAACTTGTTTCATGAATCTGGATGCTCCTGTATTGGGTGCATATATATTTAGGATAGTTAGCTCTTCTTGTTGCATTGAGCTGTTTGCCATTATGTAATGCCCTTCTTTGTCTTTTTTGATCTTTTTTGGTTTAAAGTCTGTTTTATCAGAGACTAGGATTGCAACCCCTGCTTTTTTCTTGCTTTCCATTTGCTTGGTAAATATTCCTCCATCCCTTTATTTTGAGTCTGTGTGTGTCTTTGTATGTGAGATGGGTCTTCTGAATACAGCATACTGATGGGTCTTGACCCTTTATCCAATTTGCCAGTCTGTGTCTTTTAATTGGAGCATTTAGCCCATTTGCATTTAAGGTTAATATTGTTATGTGTGAATTTGATTCTGTCATCATGATGCTAGCTGGTTATTTTGCATATTAGTTGATGCAGTTTCTTCATAGTGTCATTGGCCTTTATATTTTGGTGTGTTTTTGCAGTGGCTGGTACTGGTTTTTCCTTTCCATATTTAGTGCTTCCTTCAGGAGCTCTTGTAAGGCAGGCCTGGTGGTGACAAAATCCCTCAGCATTTGCTTGTCTGTGAAGGATTTTATTTTTCCTTCACTTATGAAGCTTAGTTTGGCTGGATATGAAATTCTGGGTTGAAAATTGTTTTGTTTAAGAATGTTGAATATTGGCCCCCACTCTTTCCTGGTTTGTCGGATTCCTGCAGAGAGATCCGCTGTTAGTCTGATGGGCTTCCCTTTGTTGGTAACCTGACCTTTCGCTCTGGCTGCCCTTAACATTTTTCCCTTCATTTCAACCTTGGAGAATCTGACGATTATGTGTCTTGGGGTTGCTATTCTGGAGGAGTATCTTCATGCTGTTCTTTGTATTTCCTGAATTTGAATGTTGGCCTGTCTTGCTAGGTTGGGAAATTTCTCCTGGATAATATCCTCAAGAGTGTTTTCCAACTTGGTTCTATTCTGTTCATACTTCAGGTACAACAATCAGTCGTAGGTTTGGTCTTTTCACATAGTCCCATATTTCTTGGATACTTTGTTCATCCTTTTCATTCTTTTCTCTCTAATCCTGTCTTCACACCTTATTTCATTAAGTTGATCTTCAATCTCTGATATCCTTTTTTTCTGCTTGATCAATTCGGCTATTGATACCTGTTTATGTTTCATGAAGTTCTCATGTTGTGTTTTTCAGCTCCATCAAGTCATTTATGTTCTTCTCTAAACTGGTTATTCTAGTTAGCAGTTCCTGCAACATTTTATCAAGGTTCCTAGCTTGCTTGCATTGGGTTAGGACATGCTCCTTTAGCTCAGAGGCATTTGTTATTACCCATCTTCTGAAGCCTACTTTTGTCAGCTCATCAGTCTCATTCTCCATCTACTTTTGTGCCCTTGCTGGAGAGGAGTTGCGATCATTTGGAGGAGAAGAGGCATTCTAGTTTTTGGAATTTTTAGCATTTTGCATTGTTTTTTCCTCATCTTTGTGGATTTATTTACCTTTGATCTTTGAGGCTGATGACCTTTGGATGGGATTTTTTCTTTTGTGGGGGTCCTTTTTGTTGATGTTGATGTTCTTGCTTTCTGTTTGTCAGTTTTTCTTCTAACAGTCAGGCCTCTTCTGCAGATCTTCTGGAGTTTGCTGGAGGCCCACTTCAGACACAGGGGTACCATTTTAAAATCTTTTATCCTTTTTCTTCTTTCTTTTTTTTTGGAGAGGTGGAGTCTCACTACATTGCCCAGCCTGGTCTCAAATATACCATATTTTTACTGCACCTTTTCTATATTTAAATACATAAATATTTACCATTGTGTTACAATTGCCTACAGTATTCAGTACAGTCACATGCTGTACAGGTTTGTAGCCTAGAAGCAATAGGTTATACCATATAGCCCAGGTGTGTAGTAGGCTATACCATCTAGGTTTATGTAAGTACATGCTATCATGTTAACCCATGATGAAATTGCCTAATGATTCGTTTCTCAGAATATATCCTTAAGTAATGCATGTGTGTAAGAGGAAAATTTTAACACACCTTTCACAGTAAATGATACAGTGATACGTTCACAATTCTTTGGGATTTTGGCAATTTGGATGACACAGTTAACAAAATTGACCTAGTGACATCTATAGATGACCATATCCTGAGTGTAGAATATATAATCTTTTAAATCTTACATAGATTTACAAAAAGTTGACAAGTTTTGTTTCAAAGGATTGAAATAATATACTGTATGTTTTCTGATAGGTGGGAATTAGAGTTCAACAATAAATGATAAATGATAAAATAATGCAACTATTTTAAAATTCAACATGTAGAGAAATTGGGTAAGACCTCTCTTAATAAGCAGTGGATCAAAAAATCACTATAATAATTAGAAAGCATTTTGAATAAAAACAATAACACTTTCGGTTATCCTTTGTAGGTTACAACTAGAGAAATTGATGGTGTAAAATTATACATTACAAAAGAAGAAGAGCTGAAAGGTATAGTACTAAACAACCATTAACAGACATTTGAAGAAATGAATTCCAAGAATGAGAGGTAAATAATTAAACTAAGAACAAACTACAATAGAAAGCCTCAATTAGACATAGATGTAAAAGCTGTATATAAAATATTAGAAAAATCAACTCCAGAAATACATTAAAAAACATATGATCAATTGGGTTTGTGTCTATGGTGAAATTTAGATTTAGTATTAAAAATGTATTAAAGTTTGTTACCACATTAACAAATAATGTACTTAGTAGAGCACAGTAAAAAATTTGATAAAATTCAATATTCAGTGGTGATAAAAATGAGTAAACTACAATGCCATCCCCATCAAGCTACCAATGACTTTCTTCACAGAATTGGAAAAAACTAAAGTTCATATCGAACCAAAAAAGAGTCTGCATTGCCAAGTCAATACTAAGCCAAAAGAACAAAGCTGGAGGCATCACGCTACCTGACTTCAAACTATACTACAAGGCTACAGTAACCAAAACAGCATGGTATTGGTACCAAAACAGAGGTATAGATCAATGGAACAGAACAGAGCCCTCAAAAATAATGCCGCATATCTACAACTATCTGATCTTTGACAAAGCTGACAAAAACAAGCAATGGGGAAAGGATTCCCTATTTAATAAATGGTGCTGGGGAAACTGGCTAGCCATATGTAGAAAGCTGAAACTGGATCCCTTCCTTACACCTTATACAAAAATTAATTCAAGATGAATTAAAGACTTAAATGTTAGACCTAAAACCATAAAAACCCTAGAAGAAAACCTAGGCAATACCATTCAGGACATAGGCAAGGGCAAGGACTTCATGTCTAAAACACCAAAAGCAATGTCAGCAAAAGCCAAAATTGACAAATGGGATCTCATTAAACTAAAGAGCTTCTGCACAGCAAAAGAAACTACCATCAGAGTGAACAGGCAACCTACAGAATGGGAGAAAATTTTTGCAATCTACTCATCTGACAAAGGGCTAATATCCAGAATCTACAATGAACTCCAACAAATTTACAAGAAAAAACAAACAACCCCATCAAAAAGTGGGCAAAGGATATGAGCAGACACTTCTCAACAGAAGACATTTATGCAGCCAAAAGACACATGAAAAAATGCTCATCATCACTGGCCATCAGAGAAATGCAAATCAAAACCACAATGAGATACCATCTCACACCAGTTAGAATGGTGATCATTAAAAAGTCAGGAAACAACAGGTACTGGAGAGGATGTGGAGAAATAGGAACACTTTTACACCATTGGTGGGACTGTAAATTAGTTCAACCATTGTGGAAGTCAGTGTGGCAATTGCTCAGGGATCTAGAACTAGAAATACCATTTGACCCAGCCATCCCATTACTGGATATATACCCAAAGGATTATAAATCATGCTGCTATAAAGACACATGCACTTGTATGTTTATTGTGACACTATTCACAATAGCAAAGACTTGGAACCAAGCCAAACGTCCAACAATGATAGACTGTATTCAGAAAATGTGGCACATATACACCATGGAATACTATGCAGCCATAAAAAAACGATGAGTTCATGTCCTTTGTAGGGACATGGATGAAGCTGGAAAACATCATTTTGAGCAAACTATCACAAGGACAAAAAGCCAAACACCACATGTTCTCACTCATAAGTGGGAATTGAACAATGAGAACACATGGACACAGGAAGGGGAACATCACACACTGGGGACTGTTGTGGGGTGGGGGGAGGGGGGAGGGAGAGCATTAGGAGTTAAATGACGAGTTAATGTTAATGTTAATGTTAAATGACGAGTTAAATGTTAAATGACGAGTTAATGGGTGCAGCACACCAACATGGCACATGTATACATATGTAACTAACCTGCACGTTGTGCACATGTACCCTAAAACTTAAAATATAATAAAAAAATGAGTAAACTATTAACATAAAGAAATTCCCTTATTTTGATAAAGGTTCCATCAAATATACCTGGTAGTTAGAAAACATTAAAAAATTACAATAGCATATAAATAATAACTATTTTGAATAAATCTAACAGAACCTTTGTAAGAATGTAAAGGGATAATTATAATGCTTTACTCACGGACACTAAAGACGTAAATAAATGGAGGGATAATATGTTCATGATTTGGCAGTCTTGTGGGATATAGATTGATTCCAATCACAATAAAAATTGCAACCATTTTTAAAAACATTTTATCTTTATACAGCAGTTTTAGGTTCACAGCAAAATTGAGAGGAAGGTATTTCATATTTCCCCTGCCTCCACATATAATTGCCTTCCTCATTATCAACACCCCCAAACAGAGTGGTAAATATGTTACAATTGATGAACTTACATTGACATATTATTATCACTCAGAATCCACAGCTTACACTAGGGTTCACTCTTGGTGTTATACATTCTATGAGTTTAGATCAATGTATAATGACGTATATTCACCATTATAGTATAATACAGAATAGTCTCACTGTCCTAAAAGTCCTCTGTGCTCTGCCTAATTATCCCTCCTTCCACCCAACTCCTGGAAACCACTGATATTTTTATTATTCCTGTAATTTGGCCTTTTCCAGAATATCATATGGTTGGAATCATACAATATGCAGCCTTTTCAGATTGGTTTCTTTCACTAAGTAATGTGCAAATATTTTAGGTTCCTCCATGTCTCTTCATGGTATGATGATAGCTCATTTCATCTTGGCATTGAATAATATTCTATGGTCTGGATGTACCACAGTTTATCCATTCACCTATTGAAGGACATCTTGGTTGCTTCCAAGTTTTGGCAATTATGATTCAGGCTGCTATAAACATTTGTGTGCAAGTTTTTGTGTGGACATGAGTTTTCAACTTCTTTGGTTAAGTACCAGGGAGCACATTGCTGGAGCAGGCACTAAGAGTATATTTGATTTTGTAAGAAACTACCAAGCTGTCTTCCAAAGCGGCTGTACCATTTCCTATTCCCACCAGCACTGAGTGAGAACTTCTGTTGCTCTACATCCTCACCAGCAACTAACTGGTGTTGCAAGTGTTCTGGATTTTAGCCATTCTAATAGGTGTGTAGTGGTATCTCATTCTTTGAATTTGCATTTCCCTGATGACATGTGACATGCAGCATCCTCTCATATGTTTATTTGTCATCTGCATATCTTATTAGGTGAGGTGTCCAGGTATTTGGCCCATTTTTAATTGCATTGTTTGATTCTTTATTGTTAACTTTGAGTACTTTGTATATTTTGGATAACAGTTGTGGAGATAAAGCAACTACATCTTGAATGCTAATTTGCCATGTTGACTTTTGATTAACCCTGGTTCTAAGAAGGCCTCTTAAGATTTCCAGTTTATCTATTGCTCCCTAGGTAAGAGTGTGTAAATCCTGCCTTTAGGTCAAAACAACCTTCATGTCATCGTACTTCAGTTGTCCTACACATCTCTTCTGAATCATGTATTTCCCTTCCCTATGGTATACACCTCTGGATCTAGGGGAAAAAGGCATGGGATCCACCATCTGGTCTCGTTTCCACTGAGGCACAACATGGCTACATGGTTTCTAAGTCCCTATTAAATGTTTCTTTTTAAGAAACTGGATTTGTCAACCACTTTCTTCTGCCCCTTCAGCTTCCTTGGACTTTGGGGTCAGTTTGCATAGATCTGCCCACTCCAGAACAAAAGTCTTTTATCAGTTATGTCTTTTGCAAGTATTTTCTAACAGTGTATGTCTTGCCTTCTCATTCTCTTGAACGATAGGTTTTTTTTTTCTAAAACTTGGCAAGCTGGTCTTAAAATTTACATAATTGGTCAAAAAAATGGGAACACTTAAAAAAAAGAAGGAGGACTTACTGTAACAATATCAAGATAAATCTATGGTAAACAAGATATATTTGTATTGATACAGGAATAAATAAATAGATAAATGAATAAAATAGAGGCTCTGGAAATAGGCATACACACCTTGACTTATGAAAGACAGACTGCAGAACTGTGGATAAAGATGGACTTTTAAATAAATAAATTATTTCAATCCCCAGATGGCTATCCATATGGTCAAATATGCTTTTCTATTCACAAAAATCAATTCCAAGTAGATTTAAAACCTCAATATGATGAGCGAAATTATAAAGTTTTTAGAAGAGAATACTGGAAAAAATTGTCATGGATTTCAGATCAATAAAGACATTAAAAGAGACATAAAGTGCACAAACTCCAAAGGAAAAAATTAGACCATAGTAATATTTAATTATTCTGTTTATTATCATTAAATAAATATGCCATGAGGAAATTAACAAGGTTACCTACTGTATTATTTGGGCTCTCTAGAGAAATAGAATCAATATGAGATGTATATGTCTGTATAATATACCATATATATGTGAGATATATACACACACACGTATACACACACATATACAATAAGGAATTGGCTCCTGTGATTCCCAGTGTCTCAGAAGTCCCAAGATCTGCAGTCAGCAAGGTGGAGATTGAGAAGAGCTAAGGGTATCGTTCCAGTGCAAGTCCAAAGGCCTAAGAACCAGCAGAGGTGACGGTGTAAGTCCTAGTCTAAATTCAAGTCAGGAAAAGGAGAAGACCAATGTTCCAGCTGAAGACAGTCTGACAGAGAGAGTGAATGCTGCCTCTCTCAACCTTTTTATTCCATTCAGGCCTTCAACAGATTAAATGAGGCTCACCCACATTGGTGAAGGCAGTTTGCCTTACTCAGTCTACCCGTTTGAATGTTCATCTCACTGAAAAACGCCTTCACAGTCACCCCCAGAATAACGTTAAACCAAAGATCTGTGCACCTTGTGGCCCAATCAAATTGACATATAAAATTAACCATCACAGTACAGAGTGGTAGAAGATATTCACAATACACATAAACCAGGAGATTCATATTCAGAATATATAAAAGTCTTTTGCAAATTAACCTTAAAAATACAGACAACGAAATAGAAAATTTGGAAAATGATTTCACAATAGAGGGTGTCCAAATGGTCAGTAAATGTTTGAGAAGGGGCTCAACCTCATTAGTAGTTCAGGAAATTTAAAATTGAACCACAATGAGAGAATGATGGTGAGATGAAATCACAAATGTGTCACCTGTGTCAGTCTCCTGATGCTTTTTAAATCCTAGGGCTCTTGTTCCTTACAGTTTAATTAATAAGTATCACAGGTAGGTGTGTAGGACTTCACTGAGACACATCCATATACCTAGAGATGTATAATAGATTGAGTAACTTTATTTACATCATGATTTCTAATTTTAAAATAATTTTTAAGAAGTTGGTAGTCAAGTGGCCCAGACTAAAGCTATGCTAAGAAAAATGCCTCTCAAATTTAATATGCAGGTGAACTACTTGGAAATCTCATTGAAATGCAGTTTGTGATTGATACTGTAAGTCTAGAGTGAAACCTGTTATTTTGCGTCTAACAAGCTCCCAGGTTGCCTATGGCACAGGTGAAGTGTTGCAGCTACTGCCAGCTGATGGGCCATGTTTTGAGAAGATGCTAAGGGGTTTCCCTGGGCTGCCCCAGCAGAGGGTAATTGCAGACAGCTGAATGTGGCCAAAGGTTTATAAGCACTCAAGGAACCCCCAGCTCCTTGCCATTTCTTGTTTTCTATGTTGTGTCTTGGAGTCTGGAGCAATGAAGACCTCTGTGCTCTTAGGTAGGTCCTTCCTCTTTTCTTTATTGTTTTGGAATTCTTCTGGATTCAACCCAGGTATGCATAAGAAATATCTTCAGAGGTGGTGATTTAAACTGATAAGATTACTTTCTAAAACACTGCTGTGTAAAAAGCTGAGATTTTTTTTTTTCCCCCTGATTATAAACCAACAGGTAGGGCTGCCTGTTTCTATTACTCAGTTAAGAAAAAATTACTCTTTCTGGTCACATAAACTGTGCTCAGTCTTCTTTCTCTATAAGCCAATTTGAAAGTTCTCCAGTTTTAGTTTATCTTATGCCATTATCCCTCTTCTAATGTGAGACCCATGTTTCTAACATAACTGGGGCTCCTATAATTTGAAAGAACCAGGGAAAGGAAGGACTACCTTAGAGATCTCTGGGTTTCTGGGGAGGATTACAGGCTCTCTTGGCCTATCCATGGTGCTGGAGAGATAGAATGAAAATTATATAGAGAGTAAGCAGCTGAATTTGGATGAGTTCTAATTGCTTCCTCTATATACTGAAGTTTGGGAAACAGTTGAGCCCCAGCATTGTACTTGTTAGCTGCATGAACTTGGGCAAGTTACTTTTGAAGTCTCTCTAATTTTGGCTGCCAGGAAAAAATTACTAGGAATGTATAGTGTCTTAAAATAAGATGATGAGAGGCCCCGTGAAATGAAAACACTCAAATCTTAGTGCTGGAATTACCGTGAGGTAATGAGAGAATAGTTGTTTGGTTCAGTGCGCCAGAGTGATGTCGGCTGCGTCTAATGTCAGTGTGAGAGGTTTGCCAAATAAAGCAGCCTATGGACTTTCTCCTGTTTCTGTAACCATGCACTGGTTCTCTTCCACCTTTACATTAGAATACTGGTTCTCAGCGGGTGGTTTTGCCCTCCAGGGGACATTTGGCAATGTTTAGAGGGATTTTTGGCTGTCACAACAGCGTTTGTCACTCGTATCTAGTGGATAGTGGTCAAGAATGCCACTACACATTCTGCAATGTATAGCCAACAACCACAAAATCTCTTTGGTTATAATCTCAGTGAGGCTGAGTTGAGAAACCCAGCCTTGTGTTTTATTTTAGCTTAGAAGCACTTTAAGGCACATATTTGTGAGACCCCTTTTCTAAGCAAAACCAGTGCCAGACCTGAAACCAGCTGAAACCACTGCTGCGTTTCACATAATCTTGATTTCTAACAACCGAAGCTAATGACCGCCTCTTTGTACTTCTCAGAGTGAATAAGATTTGTGGGGGGCTACCCAGTATCAAATCTCAAACCTGCGATTACCTTTCTCATAATCAGACTTGGCTTCTCTGTTACACCTGAGTTTGTTTGATCTTTCTTTGAGATTTCAATGCCTTAATGTCTTTTTTGTATGTGGGTCTTTCTCTATTACCATTCCCTGAGACCAAAATTAGGGTATGTAGTTAAGGATGAAATTGAGAACTAAGTGTACTTTAGTCACATTAGACGAATCTAGGGAAACTTAGGGAGTAAAATGAGTTAAAAACCTAGTGCCTGTAGGCCGGGTGCAGTGGCTCACGCCTGTAATCTCAGCACTATGGGAAGCCGAGGCAGGCAGATCACATGAGGTCAGGAGTTCGAGACCAGCCTGACCAATATGGCGAAACCCCGTCTCTACTAAACAAAAAAATACAAAAATTAGTCGGGCATGGTGGTGCGTGCCTGTAATCCCGACTACTCAGGAGGCTGAGGCAGGAGAATCACTTGAACCTGAGAGGCAGAGGTTGCAGTGAGCTGAGATTGCGCCATTGCACTCAAGCCTGGGCGACAGAGCGAGACTCTTTCTCAGAAAAAAAATAAAAAAAAATAACCTAGTGCCTGTAATCCCAACACTTTGGGAGGCCTAGGCAAGAAGATCGCTTGAGCTCAGGAGTTCCAGACCAGACTGGGCAACGTGGTGAAACCCCATCTCTACTAAAAATACAAAAATTAGCCAGGTGTAGTGGTGCATGTGTGTCCGGAATTGGTGGGTTCTTGGTCTGACTTCAAGAATGAAGCCGCGGACCCTCGCGGTGAGTGTTACAGTTCTTAAAGGTGGCGTGTCCGGAGTTTGTTCCTTCTGATGTTCGGATGTGTTCGGCGTTTTCTTCCTTCTGGTGGGTTCGTGGTCTCGCTGGCTCAGGAGTGAAGCTGCAGATCTTCGCGGTGAGTATTAGAGCTCTTAAGGCAGCGCGTCTGGAGTTGTTTGTTCCTCCTGGTGGGTTCGTGGTCTGGCTGGCTTCGGGAGCGAAGCTGCAGACCTTCGCATGAGTGTTACAGCTCATAAAGGCAGTGTGGACCCAAACAGCTGCAGCAAGATTTATTGCAAAAAGCCAAAGAATAAAGCTTCCACAGTTTGGAAGGAGACCCCCAACGGGTTGCCAGTGCTGGTTCAGGCAGCCTGCTTTTATTCCCTTATCTGGCCCCACCCACATCCTGCTGATTGGTCCATTTTACAGAGAGCTGACTGGTCCGTTTTGACAGGGTGCTGATTGGTGCGTTTACAATCCCTGAGCTAGACACAAAAGTTCTCCACATGCCCACTAGATTAGCTAGATACAGAGTGTGGACACAAAGGTTCTCCAAGTCCCCACCAGAGTAGCTAGATACAGAGTGTGGACTGGTGCATTCACAAACGCTGAGCTAGACACAGGGTGCTGATTGGTGTGTTTACAAACCTTGAGCTAGATACAGAGTGCCGATTGGTGTATTTACAATCCCTTAGCTAGACATAAAGATTCTCCAAGTCCCTACCAGACTCAGGAGCCCAGTTGGCTTCACCCAGTGGATCCCATACCGGGGCTGCAGGTGGAGCTGCCTGCCAGTCCCATGCAGTGTGCCCGCACTCCTCAGCCCTTGGATGGTGGATGGGACTGGGCACCCTGGAGCAGGGGGCCCCCGCTTGTTGGGGAGGCTCCTGCCGCTGCAGGAGCCCACGGTGGGGGAGGAGGCTCAGGCATGGCGGGCTGCAGGTCCCCAGCCCTGCCCCGCCAGGAGGCAGATAAGGCCTAGCGAGAAGTCGAGCACAGCAGCTGCTGGTCCAGGTGCTAAGCCCCTCACTGCCCGGGTGGGGGCGGGGGCCAGCCGGCGGCTCCGAGTGTGGGGCAGCGGAGCCCACGCCCACCCAGAACTTGCGCTGGCCTGCAAGCACAGCGAGCAGCCCCGGTTCCCGCCGGCGCCTCTCCCTCCACACCTCCCCGCAAGCTGAGGGAGCTGGCTCTGGCCTTGGCCAGCCCAGAAAGGGGCTCCCACAGTGCAGCGGCGGGCTAAAGGGCTCCTCAAGCGGCCAGAGTGGGCGCCAAGGCCGAGGAGGCGTGGAGAGCGAGCGAGGGCTGTGAGGGCTGCCAGCACGCTGTCACCTCTCACATGCTTGTAGTTCCAGCTACTCCAGAGGCTGAGGCAGAAGAATCACTTGAACCCAGGAGGTGGAGGTTGCAGTGAGCTGAGATCTCACCACTGCACTCCAGCTTGGACGACAGAGGGAGACTCCATCTTTCAAAACAAAACCTAGCTCCTGCTCCCAGAGTACTACCAATCTATTTTTTATGGCATTTTTGTAACTGTGGTCTAGCCATAATGCTTGGCACACACAACGTCTTCCATCCTTGCACTGGAAAGTATTAGTTATATAAAAATTGAATGAATGGCTATGTGAAAGAAATCTGGCCTCTCATCTATCCTTCTCTTCACATGTTTTTACCTGCTTTTATTATATTCAGTGGTCATCTTGCAGCTCTGAATGTTGGTACCTCTTAGACCAGTTCTCAAACTTTGTATATGTAAGTCATCTTGTTATTAAAATGCAAACCGAGTCAATAGGTTAGAGATGAGATCTGGAACTCAGTATTTCTAATGAGTTCTAAGGTGATGTTGATGTTACTGATTTGTGGACCAGACTTTGATTAGTAAGGCTATAAACAAATTACTCACCAACTAGCATTATTAATAGAGAATAGAGAATTCTCTGTGAATAGAGAATAATTAACTGAAACCTGAGTCAGGCACTTACTGTTATTCTAATTCTCACTTTTTCACTCCTACCTCTCCTAAGACACAGATGTTCAGTGGACAAAGAAGACACTGTTTAGATTGCAGCAATGACTGAGTTGACTACTGATGGCCTAGATCACTGTCTGATTGGTATTAGGGCCAGCCACGTTATGTACCGGACTTAAGATTCTTCAAGTAATTTAATGGTTTGAGCATTTAATTTCTTATCTGGAAAATGAAGACATTATCTGTCCTATCTCAGGTTTTCTTTGTTAGACTCAATAACAAGAACATAGGCCGGGTGCCATGGCTCACGCCTGTAATCCCAGCACTTTGGGAGGCTAAGGTGGGGGTGGATCACCTGAGGTCAGGAGTTTGAGACCAGCCTGGCCAGCCTGGCGAAACCCTGTCTCTGCTAAAAATACAAAAAGTAGCTGGGTGTGGTGGCACATGCCTGTAGTCCTAGCTACTCAGGAGGCTGAGACAGGAGAATCACTTGAACCCAGGAGGTGGAGGTTGCAGTGAGCCAAGATCCTGCCACTGCACTCCAGCCTGGGTGACAAAGCAAGACTCTATCTCCAAAAAAAAAAAAAAAAAAAAAAGAATGTGGTGAAATTTGACCTAGGAATTGGTACATAAACAGCAGAACTTCTTATTTAATGTGACAATAAATGTGGGAATCCCCATGGGAACAGGCTTGTGGTCTAACATATTAACCCCTCAATGACAGCCTGGCCCTGCAAGCTTTGCTTTTTAAGATAAATATATCTATCCTTGGGATACAAACAGAAAATACATAGGCTACAGCTCCTTTCTTAGTCTGAATAAAAGGAGGGACTTGATAGTAATTACAATTCCCGTTTCGACATGGACCAAGAAGGACATTGTACCATAGTCCTGCTGCTATGAGGTAAGTGGATTGCAGATTTTTTTTCATCCTCACCCTAAACTTCACTTCTGCAGCTGTCATCACTGTATTTACTATCAGTATCTATCAACTTTCTTATATGAATAACTTATGCTATTAATCTCTCTAGGAAAATGGTTTCTCAAAATTCTAAATGCTGAGTTCCATGTTGTACTTGCGTCTCTGTTCTTCTAGCTGTCCCAAAAAGCATGTATCAAGTTGGTAACCTCAGGTTTCTAGGCCAAATAAGGCTCATTCTAAGCCAAACATTTTACGGAAGACAGAGTTCTGTAGATCCTTGGATACTGCCAACTGTCCTGGGATTAAAACCTGGGTCAATGTCTTCTGTGGTTGGACTAGTCACTTATTTAATTAAAATTCATACTGAAGACCAAATACATGCCATATGGGGATAAAGAGATGAAGATGTGGTTTTTTTTTTTTCCCCTAGGGGTGGGGAGAGATAATAGTAAAATGTGAAATGTCACTGTGTGCCTGATATTGTAAAAATGTTCCTAGGATATAGCCACAGCTTCTTCAGGTTAATATGAGAAGATTGGACTCTGAAACCTAATCTTTTATATAGTATTAAATTCTGATCAGGTTTAGTTTAATTGATACTGAGGATGGATGGATGGAGATCTATCTCTATGGAAGGAATTGGTGGTGGTAGTGTCTTATATAAAGACCATTAAATTGTTTTTACCTTAATAAACATTAATTGAGCATTTAAGTTCTAGGCAGTGTTCCAAGATCTTTTATATGCCTTATTTCATTTAATCATCACAGAACCCTAAAAGGTAGATAATAATGACTACGTTCACTCTAAATATGAATAAATGGTTGCAAAGAAATTAAATAACCAACTAACCTCTCTGTGGATTTTTGCAGCTGTGTAAAGTACAGAGTAGCACAGCAGCCACCGCCCTCAAGGGGCTTTTGAGCACATGAAGTGTGGCCAATTTGAATTGTGCTACAAATACAAAACACACATCAGTTCCAGAAAATTAGTATAAGAAATCTAATCTCAATTTTTGTTTTGTTACATGTTAATGATCATATTTGGGATATATTAGCTTAGATGAAATATATTTTAAACTATACCTGCTTTTTTAAATTTTAATTTTAATGTCTTTTTTTGAGATGGGGGTCTCACTCTGTTGCCCAGGCTGGAGTGCAGTGGCATGGTCTCGACTCACTGCAGCCTCTGCCTCCTGGGCTCAAGCAATTCTCCCACCTCAGTCTCCCAAGTAGCTGGGATTACAGGGGCACGCCACCATGCTTGGATAATTTTTGCATTTTTAGTAGAGATGGGTTTCACCATGTTGGCCAGGCTGGTCTTGAACTCCTGACCTCAGGTGATCCACCTGCCTCGGCCTCCCAGAATGCTGGGATTACAGGCATGAGCCACTGTGCCTGGCCTATACCTGCTTATTTTTGAACATGGCTAATAGGAGACTGAACGCTACCCATGTAGCTTGTGTTATATTTGTCTGTCAGCACTGATAGTGTAATGTCTTGGGAGGAAGTATACTACCATATTACTTTTTGGATTTTTTTTCTTTTAGCAATAACTGCAATGTGCTCTGATGATTGGTTGTTAGTCAGAATGAAAATAAGGCCTTTTGATAAGAACACAGACATTAGAATTGGCGACATACACCTGAGAGATAACTGTCCTGTAACAAGACTGTTGTCATTTAACTACGCGTTTTCTTATCCTGTCACTTCTTGTGGGATCAAGAAAATTGTAAGTGCCATGATGCTTTTCCCTAAAACATATACTGAATTTTTTTTTCAGGGCTACATAGTATCAAAAGTTCCTTCCTAATTAAAATTTTCAAGCATCTTCCTATCTCTTGCAGTGATCAATTGTTAGATAGGACCAGGTGCTTATCTACTTAATTGGGACATTTCAGATAAGGGACTTTAAAAAGGTCATAAGGGGCTGGGCATGGTGGCTCACACCTGTAATCCCACCACTTTGGGAGGCTGGGGTGGGTGGATCACCTGAAGTCAGGAGTTTGAGACCAACCTGGTCAACATGGTTAAACCCAGTCTCTGCTAAAAATACCAAATTTAGCTGGGTGTGGTGGTGGGTACCTGTAATCCCAGCTATTTGGGAGGCTGAGGCAGGAGAATCACTTGAACCTGGGAGGCAGAGGTTGTAGTGAGCTGAGATGGCACTATTGCACTCCAGCCTGGGTGATAAGTGAAACTCTGTCTCAAAGTCATAAGGTACGGTCTGTGCCTTCTCAGTTTTACTACCTCCATCTGCTGTCAGATTTTAATAGCTGGGAACATTGTTTATGAATATATGCAATTGTACTACTTTGGAAAAAGCACATATACTTTAAAACAGACCCAGAGACAATTTTCTCCTATCCCCCATCTGGTATTAGAGATGGGGGCAAAGAAGTTGAAGGACCAGGAGAAAAAGGAGAATAAAGTATTTCTCATGAGGTCTACTATTTTATATCTGTTAAATTAATGTAAAATGCCATTTCCGGATTTTCCTAAAGCAGATTCTATTAAGATCATTAAGCCACCAAAAGAATTTAATGCCTTCTAGTATTAAAACTCTCAATTGTTTCAGATGTTCCAAACAAATGATGACGCCATATTATCAGAGATCAGTTACAAACCAAGGTTGCATACTACCTATGAATTTCCAGTGGTTTGCTTTGTGAAGAGGTATGAGTAGCTACTTCTCTTACACATTCTTAAATTTATTATTTGGTTGATAGATGTTTCTGTTAAGAATGCAGCTATAAAAATGCCCTGGAGGGATGTGTATGGCATAAATTTCTAAAGTTTCTCTAACTCTAAGGAAAATGTTCAAATGTACAGAATTGAAGGAATTTATATATAGTACCTAGATTCTACCATTTTGCTAAACTTTGTTACACAATCATTTCCCCATCTATCAATTTTGATGCACTTCCAATTGAAGACATGAGTACACTTTTCCCTAAGTGCTTCAGCATGCGTATCATGAATCAAGGATCAATAATTTACTTGAAGAAGAACTCACATGCAATTAATATATAAATGTTACACAAGTTAATGCATTTGTCAACTGAGCTTTATGTTTAACATAAAACCCTATTGACATGAGTAAGACTGATTGCTGCAGAAAGTGGATCTTCCCAGTTGGTTCCTGCAGCCACACCTCACTGTTCTTGTCTCTTCTATAACTTTGTAGAAATAGAATCGCAGCATGTATGCTTTTGTGTCTAGCTTATTTCTTTCAGCAGAATGTTTGAAACTCGTTTATGTTGTATATTCCAGTAGCTTGTTTCTTTATATTGCCGAGTGGTATATTTCATTAGATACGTATTATTTGATGAAGACTTGTGCTGTTTTCAGTCTCTGGCTATTATGAATAAATATGCTATCACCATATGTTTGCATATCTTTGGGTGTATGTTTTTGTTTCCTTTAAATACCTAAGAATGGGACTGCTTGATCATAGAGTATGTTTAGTTTTGTAAGAAATGATGAATATTTTCCCAAAATAAGGTGTCCTTTTTGGCACTAATACGAGGAATGTATGGGAGTCCAGTGGTTTCACCCTCTGATGTCAGTTTTTTATTCTAACCATCTGAATAGGTGCATAGTCATATTTAATTTGCATTTTCTGATAACTAATTATTAGTGCTCATTGGCCATTTTTATGTCTCTTGTGAGCCATGTCTTTTGTTCATTTTTACTCTGCATCATCTGTCTTGAGTTGTAAGTGGTCTTCATATCTTAAAGACCAGGACTTTGTCAGATGTATTTCGCCCCAGTCCCCACATTGCTTATTAATTTTCTTAATGTGTTTTTTGATGAGCAGACGTCTTTAATTTTGGAGTTTAATTTATAGACTCTTCCTTCTAGTTATTGCTTTCTGTTCTGTCGTAAAATTCCTTGCTATTGCCAAGTGTTATTTTCTTCTAGAAGTTTTATGGTTTTGAATATATTTGGGTTTATAATCCATCTGAACTTAATTTTTGCATGTAGTGTAAGAAAGGTCAAGATTCTTCCCTCTCCATAGGGACATCCTGTTGATACAGTACCATTAACTGAAATGAAATTTCTTTCATCCTTGAATTGCTCTGACTCTTTCGTTATATCAATGACCTTATAAGCTTGGATTTCTCTGGGCTCTTATTTATGTCTTAATGATCTATTTGATCTTTATCTTGACTACCTAAGTTCATTTGCAACTTAGCAATGCCATTTTCAGCTGTTCAGGATGATTTCAAACAAATTCTCACTATATCCTTATACTTCTTGAAGGGTGGAAAAGGTCAGACAAAATTAAGGCACCCTGCAAGGAATGACTTGAAATCAGCTTTTAAAAGGAACCTCTGTTCTTCAAACTTCGCCAGTCATCTCTAAACCTTTGCTGTCTAACATAGTAACCAGTAGCCACTGGTAATATTACATGTAAATTACTAAAATTAAAACAACAAAAAATTGAGTTGCACGAGCTATTTTTTCAAGTGCTCAGTAGCAGCATGTGGTTAGTGGTAACATTTGCACAGTGTAGACTTAGATTTTTCTGTAATAAAGATTTACTAATCGACAGTGTTGCTACATCAGGATAAACACAATTGTTAACCAGACAGTAGCTAAATATCATAAACATTCATGTTGATCTTAAAGTGGTTCTAACCTTTATTTTTAATTTTCTAAATTTTAACTCTTATTTTAGATCCAGGGAGTACATATATAGGTTTGTTACATAAGTACATTGCATGATTCTGAGGTTTGAGATACTATTGACCCTGCTATCCAGGTACTGGGCATAGTCCCCAGTAGGTAATTTTCTCATTTTCCCCACTCCCGCCCCCACATTCCTTTTCCTCACTGTCACGGAAGGAAAGATTTAACAGTGGGAATGAACACTACAGCTCCTAAAGTAGGATGGTGAAGGGTTGAAATGATAGCCAAAGGTGGTGGAATCTAACTGCTTTTTAGCCTTGGAATGGGGTGTCTCCCTCTCTTGCCTGGCTAAGATTTTGGTGGTAGTCTTTGGTTTTTTAAAGAACATGCTTCCCTGACCATGAGGAATTTTTACAAATTGGTATGAGTCCCCCATACTTCCTGGAACGGGGTAGAAAATGTACCTCTGTTGTATCCTCTTTTAATCTGAGAAAATATGTTTGTTCTTCCAGCCCCCAATGTCTTCTCAACCTCTGTCTATAATATTAGCTGCTATATTGTTATAGGCACCTCCTATCCTCTTCCACTTTATTGACCCAGGGGTTAGCACCTGACTTGGACAATGCCAATTAGTTTTTCAAACAGCCTTTGTAAACTTGTCAGCCTCTAAGCAGGTAAAGGCTATGATATTAAAAAAAAAAAAAAAAAAAAAAAAAGATGATCCCAGCACTTTGGGAGGCCAAGGCAGGCAGATCACTTGAGGCTAGGAGTTCGAAACCAGCCTAACCAATGTGGTGGAACTCTGTCTCTACTAAAAATACAAAAATTAGCCAGGCCTGGTGGCACATGCCCATAATCTCAGTTACTTGGGAGGCTGAGGCAGGAGAATCGCTTGAACCTGGGAGGTGGAGGTTGCAGTGAGCTGAGATAGCGCCACTGCACTCCAGCCTGGGTGACAGAGTGAGATTGTCTTTAAAAAAAAAAGCCGTTAGTCTCCTCCTTTTGGATCATGGAAAGAAGTGGTACTTATGGCAATGGAGTCAAGGCAATGAGCATATAAATGTGGTGATAAGTTACATGTCATTTAAATTCCTACTTCTGATTCCTGAGATCTAGTTGCCTTTTTGCAGTTGATATTGTCATATTCACCTTTTAATTATCAGATAGTCTAAACTTGCAGAAAGTAGTTTCGTAGTCACTGTTTTTTTTTTCTTTTTTTGAGACGGCGTCTCACTCTGTTGCCCAGGCGGGAGTGCAGTGGTGCGATCTCAGCTCACTTCAACCACCGCTTCCTGGGTTCAAGCGATTCTCCTGCCTCAGCCTCCAGAGTAGCTGGGATTACAGGCATACCCCACCATGCCAGACTAATTTTTATATTTTTAGTAGAGATGAGGTTTCACCATGTTGGCCAGGCTCGTCTCGAACTCCTGACCTCAAGTGATCCACCTGCCTCGGCCTCCCAAAGTGGTAGGATTACAGGAATGAGCCACTGCACCTGGCGTGTAATCACTGCTTTTATGCAATGTAAATTTTTCCTCAATGTTTGACATCATCTTGAAGTTCATTTTCTGGTTATTAGACTTGTGAAGCCTAGTGGAATACAACTTAATACTAGATTTTCATACTTAGTTTTCTTCCTTCCCTTCTTTCCAGTTCCAGCTACGCTGGGGTTTGAGTTTTGGAGTATATTCTTAAATGTGATCTTTCTGTGGTTTTAAAATCTATTCTCTTCCCCTACTTTTCCTGTGTTTGCTGGGATAGAGTAATGGTATTAAGACATGAAAAGAGAAAATATCTCTTTGCTGAAATTGTTGTAGGGGTCTTTTGGCCAACACTGAGCATAGATGCCTTCTCCACGGTGGGTCCAAATGCCGGTCTTCCTCACTTAATGACTTTTTGAGTGGGTCTATCATGAACATCAGATTTGATCCTTGGATTTCTCACTTGGTGCTGGCCGTCTTAAGGGGAATCTTAGCAGATGGGATTGAACTATATTGCCGTCTATATAGGCATCCACTGAGCTCTCAAAAAAAAATGGTTTCAATAGCAGATTATAGAAGTAAAGGCTATTATGCCTTATCTATTCGCAGTCCATTTTTCTCCCAGATCAAATAGGCCAGGACATATTAGCCCTTCTAAATTCAACAAGAGATATAGAAAATTTGAATGAGATTTTAGCCTCCCTTTACACATGTACTCTGAATCTGAATCATTCTCCTGGAACTGCCTACATGCTGGCTTTGAGAGACGAGCAAACCACATTCCTTTTTCTTACATGCAGGGAAGGAAAGAGCAGCAGTGGGAATAAACACTACAACTCCTAAGATAGGATGGGGAAGGGTTGAGATGGTAGTTAAAGGTGGTGAAATCCTTTTTAACCTTGGAATGGGGTGTGTCTATGTCTCTATTTCCTGCCTAAGATTTTGGTGGTAGCATCTTTTTGCATACATATGGGTCTCTGTTTTCAATTTCTAATCTTGGGATGTGTGTGTGTGGCCTGGCTTGGTTGAGTCATAGTCCATTCAGCATAGATAGAATGTTTGTCACATCTAACAATCATTTTGCTCTTCAAAACTTTTATTGACCCCGGAGCCTCAAAGTCAAGTCAAGGATCAATTCTGGATCAATAAGTACCATCCTATTCAAGGTTCTGTTACAAACTCTTTATTTAGATTTACTGAGCTACTTTGCCTTTCCTCCACAAGTCAGTTATTTTGGGTTATCACTTATAACGAACCTATCTAATACATATTTTTCCCACAAAAAATCTGTACAGCTATTAATCCTGTGCTTTTCTTTTGTTTGCTCTGCATTTAGGCTTAAATTCCCCTCTGTGATGCATTTTGGAATGAGTGGGTTTGATGCCCACACCTTGAAAGAAATCCCTCAAAAAACAAAAGGACAAGAGTCACCAACTCCCACACAAAGTAAAACATGGACACTTAATTTTAACAGTGTTAATAAGGTGAGAATATTAAGGTTGTTTATTTTATAGTTAACCACAATTTGTTAAATATAACTTCAAGGAAGGCAATGATGTAAATTCCTATTTGAATGCTGCATGCTGAAATTGCTCTGGTTTTAATATGAACCCTGTAGAATTAGGTACCGTAGTCTGTACTTGGATATAGTTATCATTTTCTTGTTGCAGATGAACATGAATAGGTTCCATACTGGTCAGTTTCCTTACCTATTCTCTCAGGTACTAAACTGTTCATTTTCAATATAGCCTGTGACAAAATGAAATTGTTGTCATAGAAGGCCCATACCAGATCTCTAATTTCATACTAATATTTGTAGAAAAACATGTCTATATACATATATGTGTATAAAATAAGTAGGCAGATAGGTAAACTAGGCTTAAATTCAGAGGAAGTCACTACATCTAATTCGCACTTTTCCTAAGATTAATACCTGTAGAAAACACTCTTTTTAATCAGGATTTTTCTACTGAGCTTATTTTAAAAGGATGTCAGAAAACTTGTGCATATTGACAATAGCCTTGAAGTTGACATTTCATAAAGAAATAAGCTTTGTTCTAGAGATCTGAAAACCACTTAAAATCAAAGTTGAAATGTATGATGTAATTACTTGATAGTCTCAGAAAGGCAGTCATCTAGCCAACACATAGATGCTAATCACTTCTAATAGCATAATATCTAATGGTTATATTTGATATAGCTGGTTAGTTCCATAGATTACATTTTAGGGTAGAAATGTGATTTTTTTTTCCACATTACTTCTAATTGAGCACCCATGAGTTCTCTGAACGTGTTTTCTTTTTAGGTAAGGTTATATTTAAGCAGCTCTTAACTGCTTTTCCCCCCTATCCTACAGGAGCAACTATCCAAGAAGTCACTGTATCAATAATGCCTGTGTTATAACACCCTCTCCTCCCTAAAGCAAGGGAACAAGTGATACATCTTGTCTGAAAACCAGTTTCATCAATACTGTTGATGTGTCTGTACAAAGATGAGTAGCAACATCTGTTACCAGTTTCACTACATTTTGGAGTTTTGAATAACATATCTATACCATGATATTTATACTTTTTAATGAGTTAATTTTAAGTGAAATTGCCATTCTAACTCTGAAATCAAGCTCATACATAATAAAGCTTGCCCATACCCAGTGTGTTCTTTTCTGAATTAACATTCAGCATTTTTATGATTTAGTTGCTCACTTTAGTTTTACCCATTATTCTTCGTAACCGTGTCTTAGTGAAATATATTGAAGTCTCCCTCTTTTATAATGCACTCAAAAGGAGGATTTTCCCATGAGCCCTTCATCTGTGGCTTTCTATACTGCTTTTTTCTTTTCTGTTTCCTGATAATGTCTCATGAGGAAACATTGTAAACTTATTTTGACATTGTGCATTTCTTTTCTATTACCTTGATAAAGCAAGAATCTAGAAGAAAATATTTCAGTTGCTTTTTGGCCTAATTCTGAAAGTGTTGTAACCATACAGGGCCACAACTACACTGTCACACCACCCTTCCCACCATCAGTGCTTTGGTGGAGATTTTCTTAGTGAACAAGATGACTTGCTCTTCCTTTTGAGGCTCCTGAATTGATCGGCAAAATGTCGAGTAGGGAGATCCAGCTATGAATCCCAAATAAGAATTCCCATTGCATGGAGGGTGGCAAAAATAATAGTGCCAAGCACCAGGAGTGGGAGCTCACATATCTAGACCCACTGAATCTATCTTGGAGTTGCCAAGGATGACTTGGCACACACAAGGCACTGGTTGGAACCAGTGTCTTTTTTTGTGTGTCCGGAGAGAAGGAAAGGTGAAGCAAGGAGAAAAGATGAAGCAAAATCAGCATTTGTTGTGTGTATTAGTCTCCCATGTAGGTCCCTCCTGATAGCCAATGCAAAGTGGGGGATGCATGCACCCCTCTGGAGCTGTAGGCAAAGACCCTGATACCTTACCACAGGGGGTAGGTATACCTATACCGATACCAGCCAAGTGCCATGTGACACCCACACCTTAAGCAATACAGCGAATGTGCCTTGTGTACCCAGAACAGGGAAATGATTTATTCTAATAAAGAACCTGGAACCAAGTGACAACTTCGCTCCCAGCTTCCATATAGCACAGTGTCCCAGGCCCAGTGAAAATCCCTTAGAGGGACGGCAGGCTCCACAATAGCTGCTTATTCCAACACAAAAGTGCTCAAAACTCAGATCATGCTGATCACAGCTTGCATCCCAGGTGGAAAGATATCTAATTCTTCTCTTAATTTAAATTGCTTAGTATATCTCTGGAAGTGAAGTCTTGTGCCTTTGAGTATACTGTAAAAGAGTACAGGTGCCAAACTCATTCCAGGGAGCCTGAACCAGAAAGTACCACATACATGAGCAGGGATGCATGCACACAAATGATCTTTACTCAAAGCAGGGTCAGTCTTCTTCCATAGGGAAAATGTAGTTGGGGCAGAACATTCTTATGGCTAGACTTCTTGCTCCTGGGAGGGAGAAAAACTCATGGACACAAGAAAATGTGAAAAAGGTCTCTCTCCACCTCTTTAGACACAATTTATTTTTGCTAAATCTGAAAGTACCTCTCTTTCCCCTCTAGAAATGGGGATTTTTGTTCCAAGAGAATACAAAGACATCTAAATTTGAGTCATCTAGAACTGCTAAATAACTTAGCTGAGCTGCTGGGCTTGGTTGACTAACAGGTACCTAACTATGTCAATTTCCTGATCTTCAATCCTTCCCAAGACAGCTGAAGCTGGAAAAGAGCTGGGATTGGTTGAAGGGACTGAATACTTTTGTTTTTGAAATGAAAATGACAGTAAAATTTTGTCATCTGAATATATGTGATTCTTTTACTATTTTTATTTCTTTCCACCTTGAGTAAAATTAAAGATGCAGCATGACTTGGCCTGACCTTTCTTTTTTATTTGATTTTTGAGATGGAGTCTCGCTCTGTCACCCAGGCTGGGATTCAATGGGCACGATCTTGGCTCACTGCAACCTCTGCCTCCCGGGTTCAAATGATTCTCCCACCTCAGCCTCCTGAGTAGCTGGGATTACAGGCACCCATCATGCCTGGCTAATTTTTGTATGTTTGTAGAGATGGGGTTTCACTATGTTGGCCAGGCTGGTCTTGAACTCCTGACCTCAGGTGATCCACCCACCTCGGCCTCCCAAAGTACTGGGATTACAGGGGTGAGGACACTTGGCCTAATCTTTCATTTCGATAAACCCTAGTAGATTTTTGACTACTCCTGGAAATATAAATCCCAATTAAAAGATATTTTTGGGCTCTTATAAAAAAGTTAAAAAAATTACAGATGCTTGCCAGGTTGCAGAGAAAAGGGAACAATTACCTACTGCTGGTGGGAATGTAAATTAGCTCAGCATTGTGGAAAGCAGGGTGGCAATTCCTCCAAAAACTTAGGGCTATCATTCGACCCAGAAATCCCATTATTGGTTATATACCCAAAGGAATATAAATCATTCTACCATAAAGACACATGTTTGTCCCAGCACTATTCACAATAGCAAAGCCATGGAATCAATCTAAATGCTCATCAATAGTAGACTGGGTACAGATAATATGGTGCATATACACCATGGAACTCTACACAGCCATAAAAATGAGGCATGTCCTTTGCAACAACATGGATGGAGCTGGAGGCCATAATCGTAAGTGAAATAATGCAGGAACAGAAAACCTAATACCGCATATTCTCACCTATAAGTAGGAGCCAGACCTTGAGTACACGTGGAGACAAATCAGGGAACAACACACACCAGGGCCTACTTGAGGGATGGAGGGTAGGAGGAGGGAGAGGATAGAACACTACCCATCAGTTACTATGCTTATTACCTGGGTGACTAATCTGTACACCAAGCCCCGTGACACGCAGTTTACCTATATAACAAACCTGCACATGTACCCCTGAACCTAAAATTTAAAAATAGCCATCTGTGGCCCTCATTGCAATAGGATACATGCATTTATTTAACAATCACTACAGTAATGAGGCAGGTACTCATTAACTCAACCTAAAAAGTCTCAATGGTGAATTCAATTGACCAAAATCTCTACATGTCAGAATGAGGTTTTGATCCAGATGCTTTTGGTTTTAGATCTTAATTTTTGACATTTAATGTCTGATACTTTGAAAAATCTTAAGTTTTTAAAATTAACTTTTAATGTAAGTATTCACTAATTCCAATAATAATGATTTCAGGGATATACAGTGTATCAAAGGGAGATCAGATGGATAACAATCTGTTTTATTTTTGACAAGGATTTGTGCAGCTGTGAAATTGAAGAAACAATGTCTCTGGGTTAAAGAATCTTGTTAATTTCCTGGAGACATAGCAGTAACAGGCTGACCAGAAAGTTGGCGAAAATTGTTTTTGACTTGAAAGGTTAGAGCCAAGGGTCAAGAGAAGTGGTACAATTGAGGATATATTTTGCGGGATATTAAAACATACAAATGGTTTGGACACAGAGTGTGAGAAACACACTGGAATCAAGCATGTCTCCTGTGATTGGGGGCTATAAGTGGGTGACTTGTGGTGCTATTTAGATGGGAAAGATTTCTTTGGGAGTCAACACTTAATGTTTGTGCAGGCTTAAAAATTTAACATCTTTTAAATTTAGCAGTTTTTGTGGTTTTCTTTCTATCTTGCGTTCTTCATCAGTATTCAGACAGGATTTTTGCTAATCACTCCAAAAAAGGCTGGACTCAAACTTAATGTGGTTAGGGGAGTTAGCAGGTTTTGTCCTCCTTAGTAGTTGTGACAAAATGTAGAATAAAGGCAAACTGAAAGTCAGTCCTGTGGGTGCCCTGGTCAGAGAATGGGACAAAGTGGGGCACAGGGAGGTGTCAGATAGGTATGATCAGAGATGGCCTCTACAACTGCTGGCACCCGAATAATCCTAACAAAGGAATTTAAGTAATGCAGTCTTCCCATCCCTTTACTTCTAGCATATATAGTGTAACCTAGATAGCTACAGAGAAAACTGCTGTAATATTTATTGTTTAATTTTGATAAAGCTAATCAATTATTTACACATATGAGTTCATTATGCTAAGATATGCTTTGGGTAATACAAATAATTACACATGGGGTCTCTGCCAAGCATACTCTGAACAAAGTGTGTATAACAACTTTAAAATTTCCTTATGCACTTGCTTTATTCTGCATGTGTATCATAGAAAGGTTGTTTTACATTGGGATAAGGTCACAGTGGTGGTATAGTTTGAGTTGCCCCAAATCTTACACAAACAGACAGTGCAACCAATATATTGAAACAAAGCACACAGACTGTTATCTTTAGAACTTAGTGATCAGGTATCCCTAAAAATTGTAGAACACAATGAATGGGGCCAACCAACTGCCAATATGAGGCCCTCTACAGGGTTTCATGAAAACTCGGGAACAATTACTAATGGGATTCTTTTATTCTCGTTTTTTTTTTTTTGAATTGGATCAATGAATCCAAATTAGCACATATGACTGCTTTAAGTTTTTTTTTGAGTAGTAATATCCATCATGCTTGTTGAATTTTTAATCAGTTTAATAATTTGTTAGTTGATTCTCTTTTTTTAATAAGTTGATTATATCAGCTGAAACTAATATTGATATTAACTATTTCAGGCCAGGCACAGTGGCTCACACCTGTAATCCTAGCACTTTGGGAGGCCAAGGCAGGTGGATTGCTTGAGCCCAGGAGTTTGAGACCAGCCTGGGCAACATGGCAAAACCTCATCTCTACAAAAATTAGCCAGACATGGTGGTGGGTGCCTGTAGTCCCAGCTACTCAGGAGGCTGAGGTAGGAGGATCATCTGAGCCCAGGAGGTCGAGACTGCAGTGAGCCATGATCATGCCACTGCACTCCAGCCTGAGTGACAGAGTGAGATCCTGTCTCAAACAAAAAGTAACTATTTCAAATATATAAACTTTTTGTCTCTTGTCGGAGTGCAATAAGTTTTTTTTTTCTGCAATAGCAAAGTTAGAGGCCTTGTTTTGTGCTTAGTTTTAATAGAAATAATTATTCTCAGTATGATGTATCTCTGGGTATATTATTGATATATTAATTCTTCTGGCCAAATTTTTAAAAAATCTTGCTTCTGCAATAGCATCCTTTCTCAGTGATCACTGTTTGTCTTTAGTAGATCCTCTGTGGTTGATATTTCTCTTCTTTTCTAGCTTATTGGGGTTCCTAGGGATTGGACATTGAACTGCTCACCCCATCTCTACATATCCACTCCCTTGGAGAGTTCATTCAATCTCATTGTTTTAACTAACATCCCTGTGCTGATGGCTTCAAGTTACATCTCTATCCTGGACTTCACCCCTGAAATGCAGACTCAGTTATTCATTTTCCTCTACAACATATTCACGTGGCTGTTCAAAACACTGTTTAACCAAAGTATGTATAACATGAATGCTCCTATTTGGAGGTTTGTGGAATGGAGGTTTCCCACTCCAAACCTCCACCTTTAGCCTTCCCTATCAGAATGTCACAAAGATATTCTGTCCTACGTATTTCTCTTAAAAAATTACAGTCTTGCTTTTCACATTTAGATATGTAATGTAATAGTTTTAATTTTATTTTTAATAAGATCATATAACATAAAATTTACCATCTTAACCATTTTAAGTGTACAATTCTGTAGTGTTTAGTACATTTACATTGTCATGTAACAGAACTCTTCATCTTGTAAAACTGTAACTCTGTAGCCGTTAAACAACTTTGCAGCCACAATGCAATAATGCTGGCTGCTTAGACTTTAAAAACTTTTTAATTTTTGCAGGTATATAGTAGGTGTATATATTTATGGGGTCCCTGAGATATTTTGATACAGGCATGCAGTGCATAATAGTTGCACCATGGAGAATGGGATATCCATCTCCTCAAGCATGTACCCTTTGCATCATGAAGAATCTGATTACACTCTTCATTATTTTAAAATGTACAATTACGTTATTACTGACTGTAGTCACCCTTTTGTGCTATCAAATAGTCTTATTCTATTTTTTTTGTACCCGTTAACCATCCCTATCTCCCCCGTACTACTTTTCCCAGCCTCTGGTAACCATCCTTCTACTCTCTATGTCCATGAGTTCAATTGTTTTGATTTTTAGATCCCACAAATAAGTGAGACCATGTGATGTTTGTCTTTCTATGCCTGGCTTATTTTACTTAGCATAATGGCCTCTAGCTCCATCCCCGTTGTTGCAAAAGACGGGATCTCATACTTTTTATGGCTGAATAGCACTTCATAGTTTATATGTACCACATTTTCTTTATCCATTCATCTGTTGATGGACACTTAGGTTGTTTCCAAATCTTAGCTATTGTTAACAGTTCTGCAACAAACAGGAGTGTAGATATCTCTTCAATATACTGATTTCCTTTCTTTGGGGTATATATGCTGCTCAGAATTTTTGATGTCAGGACTCCTTTAGACTGTTAAAAATATTGAATTACAAAGAGCTTTTATTTATATGGGCTTTATCCATCCACATTACCACATTAGAAATTAAAACTGAGTTAAAAATATTTATTAAATAATTAAAATAGCTAATAAACCCAACAGGTGTTAACATAAAATAGTGAACATTTAGTGAAAAATTACTGTTTTCCAAAAAAAGAGTGACATCATTTTATATTCGCATTTTTGCAAGTCTCTTGTCTGGCTAACTAGAAGAAAATTGGATTATCATATCTGCTTCTGCGTTCGGTCTTTGTAATATGTCACTTTGGTTAATGTACATAAAGAAAACCCTGCCTCACACAGATACGTGGTTGGAAAAAAGGAGAGTATTTTAAAAGCCTTTTCAGATAATTGTGGCTTTTTTTTTTTTTTTGATACTGCACCAAAACTTACTAAGGGGCAGTATCTTCGAGGTTTGTTGCAACATGGGATCTGAAAATATATCAATAAACTCTTCATACTTATTCCCATTAAAATCCACTGGTCCCTCTTGTACTTTGCCCATGAATGTTTCTGTAACATCATGTGCAGATAATTGGGAAAATTTTAGTTCAGAGTTATGCAGATGTTTTAAGTGATGATATTTTATTATGCAATACAAGAAATCATAGTTAAGATATCACCAGTGAGCTTCCAAGCTCATAGTAGAGAATACAACTTTTTCAAAATGCTAATTTTTCCTTTAAGCTTGAATTTTATCACTGAGTTTAATTGTTGTTAGTTGTTTTCTTTGAAGTGACAAGTTTACATCATTCAATTTCAAAAAATGTCGAATACCCACGGGCGAATAATCATTGTTTGTCTGATAGTCATTCTTTAAGTAAAGATGGTGTTCTATGTAACAAGTGGCTAGTTCAGCTCACAGCTCCAATAACTGCACAGATTTTCCTTGAGACACTCTTCATACTTTGATACGCAGCAAAAGTGTATTATGCATACTTTCTATTTTATCACTCTGAATAGTAAAAAGGCATGCATTCAACGGTTGGCATTTAATAAAACAGATACTTTTTACTGCTTCAAGACTTAAGTGAAACTGGCTTTTTCCCTTTACTGTGAGTGCACAGGGGTGAAGAATACAATGGTGACTAACAAACTAACACATTCTTATGCTACTACCTTGATTGGTGCTCAAGAGGCAGGAGCATTTCCCACCACTGTTTTTGCACACCTGTGCAAATGTCGACATTATGAAAAAGAAAATGTGTTATTGTGAAAATAGATCTGATCCCATGGACCCCTCCATCATCTAAGTTCCAATTATTGAGAAGCACTCTAGTAGAAGAATGGCCTTATTTGTTGGATATATACTTCAAAATATTTACAGTCAAGGGAACATCTTACCAGCAACCTGCTCTCAAAAGGTCCAGGAAAAAGAAAGTTTTTTTGTACTATAGTTGCAACATTTCCCTAAGTTATAAATTGTTTTAAAATATTTGTTTTATCTCTGCTTTATCTCCATTTTACATTAAAGTTATATTTAAATTCCATTACTGTTTCACAGTAAAATTCTGTATTAAAATTGGAATTTTTGGAAAATGAACTTTGTTCATTCTGCGGCTTTGAGTAATCCTTGAAACATTGCATAAAGTCCTGTTACTAACTGTGCTTCAAGATACAGGAAATAGTCATATATTAGATATTTTTTGTACGCTATTGACTTGAGCAAGACAGTTTACATTTGCTATGTCTTATTCACAATAAGTTTAGAGAGAATATATCTCCTTTTTACAGCGTATGAACAGCAGCCTTAGCTTGTTTAACTTTCTCAAACTGAAATACAAGAAACTGGCCAATGATTCCTTTTGGAACAATATTAGATGTTTACATAGGCAAGATTTAAAAGCTGCATATGAAGTTAATAAATTTTAGATCCTGAAAATGTTCTTAACATCAGAAAAATGTTTAAAGAAATGAAAGATGAAAAAATAACATGTAGACTTGCCCTTCTCTTTCTCTAATACTCTTTCCCCATTGGTGGTTGGGCGACTGGATTCTCCAGGCTTTCCTGATGCAGAGCACTGTGTGGGTCACAGCTTTGGGGATCTCACTGTCCACAAGAGAATGTAATGTCAGAAATAGAAGTCCTTCTTAAATGCATAGGGAAGCTCTGTGCATGTAGTCATTTGACAGCAGACTGTAACATTGAAAATATAATTCAGATATGACTAAAAGCAATAATAGGCATTTAATTCAGCCTCTTTGAATTTTATTTACTGTTAGCCTTTGATTTTCAATTACCCTTAAAACCACGCAGTCACATTCAGGCCGTGACTAACATTTTAAAAAAATACAATAAAAATCTTTGGCTGGAACTTTTATTCTACTTCAGTATTGAAAAAATCATAAATATAAATTATTATACATATACAGTTATGTGTATATATATGCATATAAAATATTCTCTTGTCTCAGGTTTGAAATGACTAAAGTTACCAACACCTTAATTTAGAAAGAATCAACAGAGAGGGAATTGTCAACTTTCCTAATACCAATAGACTTGACTTTCCTTTGGGTGCCTGTCCCCTCCTAGAGATTTATGTTCCTGGTCAAGTCAGTTTATCATGTCTGCTTTGCTTCTTCCAGCCAAACCCATAGAAATGAAGAAATAATAGTCTTTTGATTTCAAGTATGAAAGATCTAGGCTGTTCTCATATTAGATGGAAACTTAAAACACCTGAACGTTAGCTAGTAAGAACAGTTTCCTGTAATTTAGTATTTACTGGAAGCATTGTGTGCCATGCCATCCTCCTGATGTTTGTAACAGGACTTGTAAAGACTGTTATCAAATAACACTTTTTTCTTGATATGTCTCTTTGAGCTTCAGTGTTTGGATAATCAAGAGAGTCTCAGCCTTTAGGTAGCTGACACTGTGATAAGAGCATCCTGTGAACTACCCAAATAAGGAGGAAAACGAACGCAGCTGAGCATGGGATGCCATATAAAAATCACTTAAACCAGTCGCCACTCCTTGTTTCCTGAGTTGTCCTGTGCTGGAGGTCTGCTCAGACGAAGGTCTCCATGGCGTTAGAAGTCTTGATGCTCCTCGCTGTCTTGATTTGGACCGGTGCTGAGAACCTCCATGGTAAATAACAAGTTTTAGAGAATGCTTCCTCGAAGGAGTTAATCATAATGATCGCTTTCCATGCAGGTGTTTTACTCCCTGAAGAAATCTGATCTTATTCTAACTGGCTAGAAGAAGAAGCGCTTTCAGGCCAAGTAGACTTGTGTCAATATACGGAGGATACATTTTCTCTTTCTGCCTAAATGTCCCAGTTCTCAGGCTTTTATTTCTCTCTCTCTCTGTTTTGGTCTTCTCTCTAACTTGAGACTCATTTTCAGAGGTTCTTCAGGAATAGTCCTTGGCTCTCTTTCAGTCTAACATTTCAAACCCCTGCCAATTACTGGTGCTTGATTGTATCACATTGTAAGATATTCAGTTGCATCTTAGCTGATCTTCCTGCTTCCAGACTCATATTTTTGCTTAATGCTGATATTATTGCTGTTTTGTTCCCTTAAAAAGACTGCTCTGAACTTCACCCATGTTAAACTCATCAACGGTTCTGCAAAGTTAATAGGAGAAAGCTAAGTCAGCGCGTTGCTGTCTACAAGTTGATTCCAATGTATCTTTTCTGTTTTGCCTGGAATCCAAATGCTTGCCAGCTCCAAGGCCTGACTAAATGTAATCTGTAAAGTAGCATTTCAATATTACTTTTTATGTTCTTTATGGTTTCTTTTTGTAGACTTTTTTTGGTAATTTGAAAGGGGGTTTTTCTTTGAAACTGATACGTCAATTTCTTACCCATTTGGCCTGTAATACCTTTGGAAGCAAAGATCACATATAGCTCCTGATATTTTTCCATTTTACCTAAGATGAATTTTAAGAATGCCTAGATCAGTGAAGCTCACCAGGTAACAGTTAACAGTTAATTATTGAAATGAACAGCACATGGAGAGAAAGAGCCACTGTGAATTCTGGCTATTTAGGGTGGGTAGGGTGTTTAGGCCCTAACTGTCTTTCAGGAAGCCTGAGCAAAGGAAGATTCTGCTGCAGTGAAAGTATCTATGTGTGTTTCTCAGGCTTTTCTCAGCTATTTGATAGAACGTCAGACTAAAACTGAGTTTCTGGCTGGGCACGGTGGCTGATACCTGTAATCCCAGCACTTTGGGAAGCCGAGACGGGTGGATCACCAGAGGTCAGGAGGAGTTCGAGACCAGCTTGGCCAACATGGTGAAACCTCGTCTCTACTAAAAATACAAAAAGTAGCCTTGTGTAGTGGTGGGCGCCTGTAATCCCAGCTACACGGGAGGCTCAGGCAGGAGAATCACTTGAACCCGGGAGGCGGAGCTTGCAGTGAGCTGAGATCACACCACTGCACTCCAGCCTGGGTGACAGAGCGAGACTCTGTCTCAAAAAAAAAAAAAAAAAAAAGCAAAACTCCGTCTGAAAAACAGGCTGGGTACACGGTGGCTCACGCCTGTAATCCCAGCACTTTGGGAGCCCAAGGTGGGCGGATCACGAGGTCAGCCAGGCGTGATGGCGGGTGCCTGTAGCCTGTAGTCCCAGCTACTCGGGAGGCTGAGGCAGGAGAATGGCATGAACCTGGGAGGCGGAGCTTGCAGTGAGCGGAGACAGCGCCACTGCACTCCATCCTGGGTGACAGAGCGAGACTCCGTCTCAAAACAAACAAACAAAAAAACCCCCCCAAAACTCGACTTTCTAATGTTACTGTGAAAAAAAATGCAGTGAAATCATAAGTATGGGCTTTCTGTGTGTCATGCCCACTTCTCCTTTCCATCCATCTTTAATCTTAGCTGCTGGAATTTATTTTCCTTTAGGAAGGACCTTCCTGATCATCTTTCCTAGGTGATGTGAGAACAGTATTTCAAACACGTAGAGAGACGTGATTTAAAGGTTATGATCACTAATGCAGGACATTTGCCTCTACACCTTTTCTGAAATGTGCATTGTCTTACCTTGTTGATGATTTCTCTCTAAAGGCGGAACTTCCAAGCTCCAGTGGTGGTGGAGTCCTCTGTGGCCACTTGCTCATTAATAATTTAAATATGTACCTTTTAATGCTGAAAAGACTCAGTTCCTCCAAATGAATCTATTGCAAATAATGATTATTATTGACTTACTGACGATTTAAATATAGAGGATAAAGATGGGTTTTACAACAAAACGTGCATGGAGCTAACATCCCAAATAAAGGGCTTTCTCTCTCTTTTTCCTTTTATGGCTGAGATTGTTTCTGGTTCTGGCTGCTCTAGACAAGAATTCTACTGTTCTAGAACCACCCTTTCTCCTCTTTCTCTTTCCAAAAGTATACTGGGATGATATCGCTTTTATTCTAACACATTGCAATTCACTTCTGCCCCTTATGTTTTGTCCTAAATATATCCCCCTCCATGGAATATTTAGGAAATATTAAGGGGCTATACGGTTATGGTTTTTCATTTTCTTTCTTATTTTTTTTTTCTTTTTTGGAGTCTCTCTCTGTCACCCAGGCTGGAGTGCAGTGGCGCGATCTTGGTTCACTGCAAGCCCCGCCTCCTGGGTTCTCGCCGTTCTCCTGCCTCAGCCTCCCGAGTAGCTGGGACTACAGGCGCTTGCCACCACACCCGGCTAATTTTTTGTATTTTTAGTAGAGACGGGGTTTCACTGTGTTAGCCAGGACGGTCTCGATCTCCTGACCTTGTAATGCGCCCGCCTCGGCCTCCCAAAAGGCTGGGATTACAGGCGTCAGCCACTGCGCCCGGCCCATTTATGCTTTTTCTTATTCTTGCATGTTGATCCTCCCACCTCCTCCATGAAATTGCTGAAATCTAGTTACATGGGGGCATAATTAGTTAGGTATTTTGGAAAATAATTTTAATAATGTTTGTAAGAAAACCTTTAAGCCATGGTTACCCTTGCCAGAGAAATAAATGCCTTTTATTTATCACAGAGGGCAGAGTTGACTATTCTTTGAACACTTTCTTAAGATAGACACCCTTCTGATGCTTTTCATATGGTTCTTTCCACAGTGAAAATAAGTTGCTCTCTGGACTGGTTGATGGTCTCAGTTATCCCAGTTGCAGAAAGCAGAAATCTGTATATATTTGCGGATGAATTACATCTGGGAATGGGCTGCCCTGCAAATCGGATACATACATATGTATATGAGTTTATATATCTTGTTCGTGATTGTGGCATCAGGACAAGGGTAAGAACAGTGATTGTTTGTAAAAAATACTGCATGTTTTGTCAGACTTTTATGCCTAGTATTAAAATTGTCTTTTAAAAAAATAATGTTTGCTTCTCATTGTAGTAATTTATGGGCAGGGGACAACGGAATTTATCATTATTTTTCACTGAATATTGGGTCATTCTGTGTGCACAGGACCTTAGATCACAGATTTATAAATTGGCTAGGGAACTGATTCTAAGTTGCCCTTAGGCTACTATTATATTTTACTAAATATTAGCAGACTGCTTTAAATTTTGTGTGATTCTTCTAATGTGGAAGGTCACCAATCTTGGGAAGCTCCATCATGTTCAATGTTAGGTCATTTGAAATCTATCCATGTTCCATGAGGATTTGTGTAAATATATAGTGGATTTTCATTGAAATGAAATCTCTTGTCATTCAGCTAGGCACAAATCCTAAATTGCGTTGTTATCCTGGGATATTATCTTCTCACAGATTCCCAAATTTAAGCAATTTATATTCACACTACACAAATATTTTGGGCCAGTGACCAATGATAATAACAATCATTTTTGAATAAAGTATTTTATTTTAGAAATTGGGAACTTGGAGCTTCAGAAGGTGCTTTACCAGCTTTTCCAGGGATGCACTGCTTGTTGGTGGTAGTTTAGATACCAAACCAGGATGAATACTCTCCGAAGCTTGTGCTTTAAACCACTCTCCGTTATTTGACTTACAAATCACCTTTCTCAAAGGAACTGTTGGAAACCTTTTCATTAATGAATCATAAAGATGGCTGTAAGCGGCAGTTTAAATTTGCTGCAATGAATTAAGATTGTTTTGCCCCCAGGCATTTTAAATTCACTCTTAGGGATAACACTCCTCTTCTGTCCCAGTGAGTTGTCATATCTTTATTTATATTTAAGAATGACAGTAGCCATTTTTGAGATCATGAATGTTTTTTACATCCTATTCAAGTGTGTGTATTCCTCATCTGTTACTCCAAATATCTTCCACTGAAACTTCATGCTCTCCTAGGTAGTTTCTGAGGAAACTCTCCTTTTTCAAACCGAGCTGTACTTTACCCCAAGGAATATAGATCATGACCCTCAGGAAATCCATTTGGAGTGTTCCACCTCTAGGTAAGTCCAGCAGATTTGATTCCTTTGGAATGTTTTAGCTTTACCTTTGCTTATGAGAAGCTTCTGCAGAAGCATAGACTTTAGAGAATATAACATGATTCACCCATAAGTATAATTGTAAACAAACCCCAAATTAGTATTTACACAAATATTTTAATGAGTACTTTAAAATGTTTTAATATTTTGAATGTAATGTTTATTTTAGAATAAAAACATATAGATTTATAATGGTCCTAACAATCTAGTGTAACTATGTTATTTTATAATAACTCAACTACAAAGCAGAGTCATTAAATACTCTGTCACCTTTAGTAAGTGATAGGATTAAGCACTGATATTATCTTTCAATGTTTTGTCTTTTATAATATTCTGATACATTTTATTGCTCAATTTCATCTTATAAGAGTAAGTGGCTAAAAACATAAGAAAATCAGTCCTTCATTTAATACTAACTCATGGAGAATACATGAAGGGAGGGCTTATCAGCCTAATTATTAAATGTACTTTGCTTGCAATTTTGTGGAACTGAGATATTGAATCCCAAGAGCCTCGTGTGAACTTTGAGACTAAGTGGAAAGGTATCCTGATACACTTTTTTTTTTTTTGCCATGCCATTGAAATATTTATGTTAAGTCTTATAAATCTGAGTGAAGAACCTTGGAAACTATCTCAAAACCACAGGAAAATTTTTATCCTTGCTTAATATGTGAAAATAGTTGACATCAAAATAAGAATTTAGAGCTCAGCCAATGTGCAATGTCTTAATGTGATTATAGTACTTTTTCTCAAGGAGAGGCAGAATTTTTTTTTAATTTTGGTAAAATATACATAATCTTGTACATTTGTACAAGTTGTAAATTTGTTAAAATGTATATAATCTTTTTTAATTTTGGGAAAATGTACAAATCTTTTAATTTTGGTAAAATGTACATAATCTAAGATACCATTTTAAGTGTACAGTTCAGTGGCATTAAGTCCATTCACATTGTTAATACTTTTACTCTTCCCTTTAACTTATTTTCATAAAGTATTTTCATAATACTTTTACTCTTCCCTTTAACTTATTTTCATAAAGGCTGAGGGATTTAGTGATATTCAGGAACATAGCTGAACTCTAAATAGAAACCACCCCTTGATTCTCTGTCTCTATCTCTGTCTCTGTCCTTGTCTGTCCCTGTCTTTCTGGTCTGTCCCTGTTTCTCTGGCCTGTCTCTCTGGTCTGTCCCTCTGTCTCTCACTCTGCCTTTGCCTCTGTCTCTGTCTGTCTGTCTGTCTCTCTGTCTTTGTCTGTCTCTCTCTGTCTGTCTCTCTCTCTCTGTCTCTGTCCCTGTCTCTCTGGTCTGTCCCTGTCTCTCTGGCCTGTCTCTCTGTCTCTCTGGTCTCTCTGTCTCTCGCTCTGCCTCTCTCTCGGTTTCTCTGTCTCTCTCTCTCTCTCTGTCTCTCTCTCTTTCTCCCTGTCTCTCTCCATCTCCATCTCTTTGTCTCTGTCTACCTTTCACACACATACATATGTTTTCAATTCTATGAACTACCCAAAGCTTGGAGCAACACAGAGTTCTGATCTAATGCCTCAGAACTACTGCCTTTCCGTAGGCTGCCAGAGTAATCATGATAAATAGATATTCCTATTTTGATAGTAACTACTATGTTGCTTGAAGCCTACTTTCCTTAAAAAAAAAATGAAGACTTGGCCAACAAAGTTGTCTGTTTAGGTTTTGGGTGCATGAATTTTAATGTTGTAGTCTCTCTCTCTCATATTCACTTACTCACATTGACATATAGAACTTTGCTGCCACTACAGTGGGACAGATTAAGCTTTTGGTGGCTTTTTCTTACTGTTCTTAGGATCCATTTGGCTGAGTCTGTTTTGCTGGGTACATTGGTACTCTTCTAATGCAAGCATCACAAATTATCTAAGACCATTCGTCTTTCTACTCAGTGTTTGATGCAGAAATCATGGGGAGACTATCTGGAATTAGTTCTTCTGTAAGCCTATCTGCTCAAATCCTGTACCAAGAGTCCACGAGGATCTAGAAGGCATAGTATGCTGGCTCTATGCCATACTCCTGAATGACTATTCTGTATATGATCATGATATTAAACAGTGGTAAAACTGACTTGATCCCAAGTGCTCCAACACTATCTGCTTTCTGTTTCCCTTTTCTTTAGGAAATCAGTGTGGCTTACACCAGTTTCTACTGAGAATGAAATAAAATTGGATCCTAGTCCTTTTATTGCTGACTTTCAGACAACAGCAGAAGAGTTAGGATTATTATCTTCTAGTCCAAACTTGCTCTGAGCTAAAGGAGAAATGGAAACTTGAAGCTGGTGTTATGTATTTTGCAGGAAAACAGTTTCATTTTTTCATAGCAAAAATATAGTTGGTGTATATCTCTCCTTAAGTCTCTGGTTTCTAAAAACCCTACTTCAGTAAAGGTCCTGATTAGTTGATTAGTGAATGTGTATTTCTAAATATTTGTATTCAGTAGGGGTATGGCTGATTAATTTAACATTAACTATTAGGTAATTCATATTATACATTTAAGTTCTTTCTGTTCTGTGTAGAAGATTCAGAAATATGTCTTCAAAGACAATGACTTGATCTAATTGATAAGAACCTCCAATAAATATGTTCTAATATTTTTCAGGAAGAATAAAGAATAGAGAGAGACATATAAATGTGCAAGAGGCAAAACTTTGAGCATAGTGTAAAATTTAACATATTAACTCTCACGAAAGGCAAAATCCTTTTATGTGCAGATACTTTAATTCATGTAGATTTTCCTATTAATCAGTAAAGTTGAATCCTAACAATAATGCCATGTGACAACCTATTTAGATTATTCCAGAATTAAATTCAATTTATTTTCTAGAGCTCAAGTAACCACTACCTTAACTGAAATTTGATGTTAGGTTTCCCTTGTTCCTCCGAATGGTTCTTCCACACTCAAAATAATTGAATGGTTGAGTTGGTTAAGCAAAGAGTTATCCTGCCACCTAAGAGCATTCATTAAATGATTATTTATTACCACCTACTTTATACTATCTTCCTTTCTTTAAACATGGAGTCTAAATATGTAATATATCAAAAAATACTTCTGATTTGGTAGATTTCTTATATCAAGGGTGAGAATTGAACTGTGCCATTGGCTATTCAATAGCTTATTGAATGTATGTTTTGGATGCCACATCCTCCTGGAAGCAAATTTTGCCAAGATACTGTTTATTATTATTTTTAATTAAAGTGATACTATTCCATTTTCAATTAAATGCTGTCTGTAGCTGTTAACTTGTCAGATAAAGAATTTGACCCTGTCATAGTGAACATCTGTCTTTACCAGTTAACATGCAGCTAAGAGGTAATACTTCTATGGGACTTCCTAAGGGTCAGAATATGGTACAAGTACATTGCGATAAATTATTTAATCTTCTTAAAGAGTGAAATATATCATGATTATCCCAATTTTACAGATAAGCAAACAGAGGTTAAATCATTTGCCTGAGTCACATAACTTGTTGGTGTTGGTTCAAGATTTAAAATAGGGCAATCTGCCTTTAGATCTGTCTCTATACTCTCTCTTTGTATATTAGCCACTATACTCTACTGCTTGGAATCATCTTAAGTTGCTGAACTTTAGTTCTCTAGAAAACAATTGCTATTCAAGCAGTTATACAACTCTCAATAAAACTTAAAGTTGAGCAATAGTGTTTCTCTTGAATATAGAAGTAAAATTATTTTATATAAACCGATTTCAGAGAATATTGGGCAGGTGAATGGTTGCTGAAAACAAAGTAAATTATTGAGTGTGAGATAATACGTATGTACAAGATAAAGAGTGATGTGGCTGGATTTTAGAAGGGTGGCTCTAAAGCCTCTTCATTTTTTTCTTTTTTTTTTTTTTTTTTTTTGTTTTTTTTGTTTTCTTTCTTTTTTTTTTTTTATTATACTCTAAGTTTTAGGGTACATGTGCACATTGTGCAGGTTAGTTACATATGTATACATGTGCCATGCTGGTGTGCTGCACCCACTAATGTGTCATCTAGCATTAGGTATATCTCCCAATGCTATCCCTCCCCCCTCCCCCGACCCCACCACAGTCCCCAGAGTGTGATATTCCCCTTCCTGTGTCCATGTGATCTCATTGTTCAATTCCCACCTATGAGTGAGAATATGCGGTGTTTGGTTTTTTGTTCTTGCGATAGTTTACTGAGAATGATGGTTTCCAATTTCATCCATGTCCCTACAAAGGATATGAACTCATCATTTTTTATGGCTGCATAGTATTCCATGGTGTATATGTGCCACATTTTCTTAATCCAGTCTATCATTGTTGGACATTTGGGTTGGTTCCAAGTCTTTGCTATTGTGAATAGTGCCGCAATAAACATACATGTGCATGTGTCTTTATAGCAGCATGATTTATACTCATTTGGGTATATACCCAGTAATGGGATGGCTGGGTCAAATGGTATTTCTAGTTCTAGATCCCTGAGGAATCGCCACACTGACTTCCACAATGGTTGAACTAGTTTACAGTCCCACCAACAGTGTAAAAGTGTTCCTATTTCTCCGCATCCTCTCCAGCACCTGTTGTTTCCTGACTTTTTAATGATTGCCATTCTAACTGGTGTGAGATGATATCTCATAGTGGTTTTGATTTGCATTTCTCTGATGGCCAGTGATGATGAGCATTTCTTCATGTGTTTTTTGGCTGCATAAATGTCTTCTTTTGAGAAGTGTCTGTTCATGTCCTTCGCCCACTTTTTGATGGGGTTGTTTGTTTTTTTCTTGTAAATTTGTTTGAGTTCATTGTAGATTCTGGATATTAGCCCTTTGTCAGATGAGTAGGTTGTGAAAATTTTCTCCCATTTTGTAGGTTGCCTGTTCACTCTGACGGTAGTTTCTTTTGCTGTGCAGAAGCTCTTTAGTTTAATGAGATCCCATTTGTCAATTTTGGCTTTTGTTGCCATTGCTTTTGGTGTTTTAGTCATGAAGTCCTTGCCCATGCCTATGTCCTGAATGGTAATGCCTAGGTTTTCTTCTAGGGTTTTTATGGTTTTAGGTCTAACGTTTAAGTCTTTAATCCATCTTGAATTAATTTTTGTATAAGGTGTAAGGAAGGGATCCAGTTTCAGCTTTCTACATATGGCTAGCCACTTTCCCCAGCACCATTTATTAAATAGGGAATCCTTTCCCCATTGCTTGTTTTTCTCAGGTTTGTCAAAGATCAGATAGTTGTAGATATGCAGCGTTATTTCTGAGGGCTCTGTTCTGTTCCATTGATCTATATCTCTGTTTTGGTACCAGTACCATGCTGTTTTGGTTACTGTAGCCTTGTAGTATAGTTTGAAGTCAGGTAGCATGATGCCTCCAGCTTTGTTCTTTTGGCTTAGGATTGACTTGGTGATGCAAACTCTTTTTTGGTGCCATATGAACTTTAAAGTAGTTTTTTCCAATTCTGTGAAGAAAGTCATTGATAACTTGATGGGGATGGCATTGAATCTATAAATTACCTTGGGCAGTATGGCCATTTTCACGATATTGATTCTTCCTACCCATGAGCATGGAATGTTCTTCCATTTGTTTGTATCCTCTTTTATTTCATTGAGCAGTGGTTTGTAGTTCTCCTTGAAGAGGTCCTTCACGTCCCTTGTAAGTTGGATTCCTAGGTATTTTATTCTCTTTGAAGCAATTGTGAATGGGAGTTCACTCATGATTTGGCTCTCTGTTTGTCTGTTATTGGTGTATAAGAATGCTTGTGATTTTTGTACATTGATTTTGTATCCTGAGACTTTGCTGAAGTTGCTTATCAGCTTAAGGAGATTTTGGGCTGAGTCAACAGGGTTTTCTAGATATACAATCATGTCATCTGCAAACAGGGACAATTTGACTTCCTCTTTTCCTAATTGAATACCCTTTATGTCCTTCTCCTGCCTGATTGCCCTGGCCAGAACTTCCAACACTATGTTGAATAGGAGTGGTGAGAGAGGGCATCCCTGTCTTGTGCCAGTTTTCAAAGGGAATGCTTCCAATTTTTGCCCATTCAGTAAGATATTGGCTGTGGGTATGTCATAGATAGCTCTTATTATTTTGAGATACGTCCCATCAATACCTAATTTATTGAGAGATTTTAGCATGAAGGTTGTTGAATTTTGTCAAAGGCCTTTTCTGCATCTGTTGAGATAATCATGTGGTTTTTGTCTTTGGTTATATCAAATTTACAAGAAAAAAAAAACCCGTCAAAAAGTGGGCGAAGGACATGAACAGACACTTCTTAAAAGAAGACATTTATGCAGCCAAAAAACACATGAAAAAATGCTCACCATCACTGGCCATCAGAGAAATGCAAATCAAAACCACAATGAGATACCATCTCACACCAGTTAGAATGGCAATCATTAAAAAGTCAGGAAACAACAGGTGCTGGAGAGGATGTGGAGAAATAGGAACACTTTTACACTGTTGGTGGGACTGTAAACTAGTTCAACCATTGTGGAAGTCAGTGTGGCGATTCCTCAGGGATCTAGAACTAGAAATACCATTTGACCCAGCCATCCCATTACTGGGTATATACCCAAAGGACTATAAATCATGCTGCTATAAAGACACATGCATACGTATGTTTATTGTGGCACTATTCACAATAGCAAAGACTTGGAACCAACCCAAATGTCCAACAATGATAGACTGGATTAAGAAAATGTGGCACATATACACCATGGAATACTATGCAGCCATAAAAAATGATGAGTTCATGTCCTTTGTAGGGACATGGATGAAATTGGAAATCATCATTCTCAGTAAACTATTGCAAGAACAAAAAACCAAACACCGCATATTCTCACTCATAGGTGGGAATGGAACAATGAGAACACATGGACACAGGAAGGGGAACTTCACACTCTGGGGACTGTTGTGGGGTGGGGGGAGGGGGGAGGGATAGCATTAGGAGATATACCTAATGCTAAATGACGAGTTAATGGGTGCAGCACACCAGCATGGCACATGTATACATATGTAACTAATCTGCACATTGTGCACATGTACCCTAAAACTTAAAGTATAATAATAATAAAATAAAAATAAAGTCTCTCTTGCCATAAAAAAAAAAAAGAATGTGTTCATGTAGAACTCAATGGTTACCTTTCGTGAGGAGAATGCAAATCAAGGCAAAAGAAGATTAAAGAGCTGTAATATTTCACATGAAGCCCATCTTGCACTATAGAAAATGTACTTATCAGGATGAAATCCCATTAAAATGGCTGTCAAAAATGAAATCTGTTTAACTCCAAACTAAGATACAATTTTACACCCTAAAATAAAGTACATAGGCCACCCTAGTAGAAGAGGTGATCTTTCTTAGAGAAATGCATTTGTTTTTTCCTATCTTATTTCCAACTATCTCGTTATAAAGGTCTTTTAGACATACCCAGTAGTTCTACAATCTGGCTTCACATTAGCGTTACCTTGGGACCTTTAAAAAATGTTTGTGTTGGGCTGAGTGCAGTGGCTCATGCCTGTAATCCTAGCACCTTGGGAGTTTGAGGCGCGTGGATTACTTGAGGCCAGGAGTTCAAGACCAGCCTGGTCAACATGGTGAAACCCTGTCTCTACTAAAAAAAATAGAAAAATTAACTGGGCATGGTGGTGTGCCCCTGTAATCCCACCTACTCAGGAGGCTGAGGCACAAGAATCGCCTGAACCTGGGAGGCAGAGGCTGCAGTGAGCCGAGATTGTGCCATGGCACTCCAGCCTGGGCAACAGAGTAAGACTGTCTCAAAAAAAAAAAAAAAAAAAAGTTCACCTTCATGTTGGGTTCATGACAAATATCCTGATTTAATGTCTTATAAACTTCCCAGAAGATTCCACTAGGTAGTTGAAAGTAGAACTGTTGTATTAGCATTTTCTATCTAGGCTATTTCCATGTTTACCAATAAATGACATGATAAATTCTTCCAGTTTTCTTAGGACCTCTAAAACAACAGTGCCTTCATTCAAATGCTAAGATTGGATTTCTAGTCCATTTTCCTCGTTTATTTGAAAACACAGCATGAGGTCAAAACAAGAATGAATCAAAGGTAGTTTCTGATTGTTGGTTTTATTTGATGGCTCATTATTTCAAGACCTCTTGGAACAACAATCCTTGTCCGTCTTAATCTTTTATTAATCTTACAATTATAGTAACTAATGCCATTTCAACGTGATTTCAACTTGTGACTTTTGCAACATTATAAACTGGTAAATTATGAATTAAACACGTTTAATGCACCCCAAAGTCAAAAACCTTAGGTGGTTAAGTGTTTTAAGAGCTTATACATGTGTTAAGATATATAAAGGTACTGCTTCATGAAGAATGTGATTTTAATATGTACACACATGGGCATGAGTGTGTATGGGGGGGTAAAACAGACAGTGCAAGCAATAATATTTAGTAAGTAGATAAGACCAGCAAGTCTTGAGAAATATATTGCTTTTTAGTCAAATGGGGCACTTGTAAATGAATAGCTAGACTATAGGTGAATTCACTCGAAGATTTCCTTTTCCTTTTGGAAATTTGCTACTTGAGTTTTGAACTTGATTATTCTTTAAGGTATTTCAGCACTGAAAGCTAGTCAGTCTCTCCTTGATCATGTCTCCTTGCCATTGGGAAATATTGCATGCAAGTGGAAAAAAGGTCTATGAATCTTCTATTTTTCCCTTTTTAATTTGTTTAAAAAATTTTTTAATTTATTTATTTTTATTTATCAGCCATAAAAAAGAATAAGATCCAGTCATTTGCAACAACATGAATGGAACTGGAGATCATTCTGTCAAGTGCAATAAGCCAGGCACAGAAAAACAAACATCACATGTTCTCACTTGTGGGATCTAAAAACCAAAACAATTGAACTCATGAAGACAGAAAGTAGAAGGATGGTTACCAGAGGCTGGGAAGGGTAGTGGGGGCCTGGGAGGGGAGGTGGGGATGGTTAATGGGTACAAAAAAATAGAATAAATAAGACCCACTATTTGATAGCAAAACAGGGTGACTGTAGTCAATAACTGTACATTTTTAAGATAAAGAGTGTAATTGGATTGTTTGCAATGCAATGGATAACTGCTTAAGGGGATGGATACCCCATTCTTCATGATGTGAGTATTATGCATTTCATGCCTGTATCAAAATGTCTCATGTACCTCATAAGTATATACACTAGGTACTTACAAAAATGGAAAAAATAGGGGGCCGGGCGTGGTGGCTCATGCCTGTAATCCCAGCACTTTGGGAGGCCGAGGCAGGTGGATCACGAGGTCAAGAGATCGAGACAATCCTGCCCAACGTGGTGAAACCCCATCTCTACTGAAAATACAAAAATTAGCTGGGCGTTGTGGTGTGTGCCTGTAGTCCCAGCTACTCGGGAGTCTGAGGCAGGAGAATTGCTTGAACCCGGAGGCGGAGCTTGCAGTGAGCTGAGATCGCGCCACTGCACTCCAGCCTGGTGACAGAGTGAGACTCTGTCTCAAATAAATACATAAAAAATAAAAATAATTTTTATGTATTTATTTTACTGTTCCCCCCTCAGCTTTAATGAGGTACAGTCAGATACATATGTTCTGCAGATCTAATGAACAGCATGATAACTGAAGTTAATACTGTACTATGTACTTGAAGTTTAAGAGAGGAGATCTTAAATGTTCTCACCACCACCACCAAAAAAAAAAAAAGATGATTATGTGATCTGATGTGATCAGTAGATTATCTGCTTTGTGTTAGTGACTTCACAATGCACACATGTGTCAAAACATGTTGTACATGGTAAGTATATTAAATTTTTATTTGTGAATCTTCCTTTGAAAGCAGTTTCTCACAATCATTCTCTAAGGAATTGAAGAAAGAGCTCAATCATTTTTATTATTTACTTTGAACTCATGTGAAGATCTTAGTTATTAAGACCTTTACATGCATTCTGTCATTTATACTTTATACCCCAAAGTGGGCACTATGATCTTCAACTTACAAATGGGAGAACCGAAGTCTTAGAGTTTAAGTAACTTCCTTTCATGGCTTTTTCTACAGCTCCAAATTCAAAAAGAGCATGTTGAAAGCATCCACTCTTTCCTTTCATTTCTTCAGATTTCTTTCTCTTCTTCGCTGAAGGCATTTTCTTGTCATCTCTTTCTTCTTCAGTATTCCATTTGCAATGGTTCTGGATAAAACGGGGAGGGAAGGATCTTATCTTTACCACCTTCCTTTTGGCTATTTCCTTCTGACTTCTGTCTCTGTCTCTGTCTTCTCTTTCATCAGTCCCTTCCTTCGCTCCTAAATGTAGACCCTGGAGAGCCGCTGCCCTAGGGCTCAGGTGCCAGCTCTCTTAGCAGAAGCACCTGTGCAGAAATTTTCTGGCAACTGGGCCCCTGCTCATTTCATATTCACAATCTCTGCCCACACACTATGTTTTGGTCTTGGTAACTGGCCCTCTTTCTCTTTCCTGTGATCACGTCCCCACTGACGCTCCTGTTTGTAGGACTAGGACCTCGCTTTCCTTGCTGTGAACATTCTTCTCTGTCTCACAGACTCCCCTGGGGCATGGATCAGGGGCTGTGCCCTCATTCTTTCTCTCAGGCCTGGCCCTGTGACCTTCATAAGGATTGTGGTTTGAATCTTCACGTTACCTACTTCCTTACTCCTTGTCACTTGGCTCTGATCTTTCTATTGCCTATTTTAGGACATTTATTTAGGATAAGCATATAATTTGGCCACTTTTGAAACTGAAAGGAGGCCGGGCGCGATGGCTCATGCCTGTAATCCCAGCACTTTGGGAGGCTGAGGCAGGTGAATCACCGGAGGTCAGGAGTTCGAGACCAGCATGACCAATACGGTGAAACCCTGTCTCTACTAAAAATACAAAAATTAGCTGGGAGTGGTGGTGCATGCCTGTAGTTGCAGCTATTCAGGAGGCTGGAACAGGAGAATTGCTTGAACCCGGGAGGCGGAGGTTGCAGTAAGCCAAGATTGCACCATTGCATTCCAGCCTGGATGACAGAGTGAGACGCCATCTCAATAAACAAACGAAACAAACAAACAAATACAAAAAACCTAAAAAAACCAAAAAACAAAAAAGAAACTGAAAGGAGGGGTTTTAACAATCATATTAGGATAACAGGCACACTTCGGGCTTCACCATTGTACAAAACAGAGATTTTGCACAGGGCTTTTCCAGTTAAATTTTAGGAAAGCTGGGTAACATTTCTATACCATAGTTTTCTCTACCATAACATCGGGTTAATAGTAGTACCTGGGTCCTGGGTTATTGTGAGGATGAGATGAATTAACATATGTAAAGCATTCAGAACAATGACCTGTATGTAGTAACCATTTAATACATTTAAACAATAATTAGCATTATTATTATATCTGTGATATTGGGCAAAGTAATTAACCTCTCTAAGCATGTAAGAATTGAATGTCATCACGCATATAAGGTACATAGCACCGTTGCTGGCACATCATGTAAAATAAGTGCCTGAGTGACCACCTCCCTCCTCCAGATGCTTCTCTTACAGTGTGACTTTGTCTCTTCTTGCTATGCACCTAACACTGTTCTACCTCCAACCCACAACCTCTTCCCACTTGTCTACCCATATTGTTGCTTGTGTTTCCTGTTCCAGCAATGTGTTAAGCAACATCTGAAAGCCAGAAGACAGTTATCCCTCACACCAGTTTCCTAATCATCACTAAGCCCTGGGGAAACACAATGGATCAGCGAGGCCCCAAATGCAGATGTGATTAGCACACTGGTCAGTCAGCCCGCAAAACACTTTCACCAAGTCCTCTAAAGTGTTGCATAAGGCAAAGATAACGTTAAGTCTGTGGAGGCTTCCGTTATCGGGAAAAGATGCTGTAGTGATCTTTTCTGAGTGTCTCCTACTTGCGACAAGGTGGACTTGGGAGGAAAGCCGTCTGCCAAAGCCTGAAGCCTCCAAGGTATAGATTCCCTCTCCATAGACATTCCCCTTTCTTTTATATCTTTCGTTAAAATGCCTCCCAGTGGACTACTGGGGATGTCTGCAAAGGTCTCTGTTTGGTTGCTATGTAGAGGTTTGGAACATTTAACTGTGAACATGGCTTCTCTTTAGGATGTGATGATTCCTTTGGAGCCATGATAAAAAGTGTTAGACATAATAATACAGCAATTTCTTTGGGAAAATGTGGGTATGGATACACACACATGCACACGCACCTCTTAGGTACATTAAATCCCACTGGCTGCACCTGAGTTTGTCTGCCAGCTCTGATGATGAGGGGTGGTCTCGATATGCCTGAAGTATGGGGTCTGCAAAGTGCATTTTAGCATAGCTCAGGGGACAGTGGAGTGTAATGATAGCTTGAGGTTCTGATTTTTAGCTTCTCAAATTGCTGGCTGTGTGGGCTTGGGAAAGCTACTTAACTTCTTTGTTCCTCAGCTTCTTCATCTGTTAGATGGAAAGGATCATAGCAGTAGTACCCATTCATCTGATGTTGTGAGAACTAAATTAGTAAACATGGATAAAGCCCTTAGAACAAATGCCTGCCACATACTAAGAGCTGGAGAGATGAACTTAACTGGCAGTTTCCTAGAAAATCTACATTTCTCTGATTTTGTGTGTGTGTGTGTGTGTGTGAGAGAGAGACAGAGTCTCGCTCTGTCACCCAGGCTGGAGTGCAATGGCACGATTTCGGCTCACTGCAAACTCCGCCTCATGGGTTCAAACAATTCTCCTGCCTCAGCCTCCTGAGTAGCTGGGATTACAGGCGCGTGCTGTCACAACCAGCTAATTTTATGTGTTTTTAGTAGAAACAGGGTTTCACCATGTTAGCAAGGATGATCTCAATCTCCTGACCTTGAGATCCTCCCGCCTCTGCCTCCCAAAGTGCTGGGATTACAGGCATGAGCCACTGCACCCGGACCATTTCTCTGATTTTTTTAAAAATAAATAACTGATTTAACCAAATTTTAGAAAACATAGTTTGTTTCACCTGGAGGCTGAAAATTCTCCCTGATTATTTTGATTATTTGAAACAAATCAAGTTAAATAATATGGTTAGATATTTGCTCTCTTCAGAAATGCTCTTGGAGTTTCTTGAGATGAGAGGCTCCAGTGCTTGCAGAGGTATTTTCCATCATCATTTATCAGGATGGCTACCTTGGGCTGGACCAAAAGTCTGGTTACTGATTGAACATGTGTGTTAACTGAGTGCTTGCCATCTGATGATTCTGAGCTAGGCACTGGAGTTGCAGTGATGAGTAGACAACGAGGTAACAGACAAGTATCCAGGCAATTAAAGCTCAGGCTGATTAAGTGGTATGAGAAGGAAAGTTGAGGAAATTTTGAGAGCAACCCAAAGGGGTGCATGCTTCTTCCAGAGTTGGCCAGGACTAAAAACAGCATCCTGGAAGTATGACATGTGGGCTGAAAATCAGTCTGGAAGGGCCGGGCGCATTGATTCACGCCTGTAATCCCAGCACTTTGGGAGGCTGAGGTGGGTGGATCACCTAGGTCAAGAGTTCGAGACCAGCCTGGCCAACATGGTAAAACCCCATCTCTACTAAAAGTACAAAAATTAGCTGGGTGTGGTGGTGCACGCCTGTAATCCCAGCTACTTGGGAGGCTGAGGCAGGATCATAGCTTGAGCCCAGGAGGCGGAGGTTGCAGTGAGCTGAGATCGGGCCTCTGCACTCCAGCCTGGGAGACAGAGCAAAGCTCCAACTCAAAAAAAAAAAAAAAAAAAAAAAAAAAAAAAAAAAATTCAGTCTGGAAGGAGAGCAGAAATTATCCAGGTGAAGCTTGAGGGGACTTGTCTTTCAGGAATGGGGGATAGCACAGAGGATTGAAGACATTTGAGGGTTTAGAACTTCTGAAGGAAGACAAATCAAGAAAATAAGGCTGGATGGAGTTTTGAGATAGGGATGGGTGAGGGGTGAGGCAGGAGACGTAGGCGAGAGATTATCTGGTCATAAAGCAGCAACATTCTCCGTATTGCATGCATCTTAGTTCATTAGATATTTAATCCAAAATACACACAAATTTCCCAGTGGATAAATTTGAAGTCTTGGCTTTTTGGCTATTCTTATTTATACTTTTTGCAGATAATTACGTTAGGAACTTATTCACATAGAGTTTGCTTTAAGCTTTATTGATCTTCCCTCGCTCTTGGGTTCTGTACAGTGTTGAACACGGGGGGTTAAGGGTTCCTTGTCATTTCACATTTATCCATACTTAAATACATACAGAATGTAATTTAATCTTGGCATGAAAATCAATATTGGTAGGAAACTTTGATGAAGAGTATTGGTAGCAAAATTTTATGACATTTATAATAAATGTTTTATCAGTATTGGTAGAGAATTTTATGAATTTTTATAGCAATTCCCAGTGTAATAATAAAACATGGCTTGACTCTCACTTTTAGTCAATGCTTAGTAAATTTGTCATCACACTTAAATGAGTCATACACACCCCCAGAGTAGAGTATCAGAAAGGTAAACATCCTGAAAGTGGCGTGTATTTAGCTTGACAAAAAATTAAGTTATTAGAAAAATGGATCTAGTATATAATTTGTAACAAAGAGTAGAAATTAAGATACTATACTTTCTTTTTCAATAAAAAGCTTTTATTTTAGGTTTACGGGTACATGTACAGGTTCGTTATATAGGTAAATTCGTGCCACAGGGGTGTGTTGTGCAGATTGTCACCCAGGTACTAAGCCTAGTACTCAATAGTTATTTTTCCCGATCTCCTCCCTCCTCTCTCTGATAATCTCCAGTTGTTTTGTTCCCCTCTATGTGTCCATTTGTTCTTAGCATTTAGCTCCCACTTATAAGTGAGAATATGTGGTATTTGGTTTTCTGTTCCTGTATTAGCTTTCTAAGGATAATGGCTTCTACTTCATCCATGTTCCTGCAAAAGACATGATCTCATTCCTTTTTATGGCTGCATAGTATTCCACAGTGTGTATGTACCACATTTTCTTCATCCAGTCTACAAATGATGGACATTTAGGTTGATTCTATGTCTTTGCTATTGTGAATAGTGCTGCAATGAACATTCACGTGCATGTGTTTTATGGTAGAATGATTTATATTAAGATCTTATTCTTAACCCAATCGATAGTTATGGCAGAATACAGCATCATTTTATGTGTTTGTTTATGGTTCATCTCATGCCATCTCCCTCATCAGTTATAAAAGCATATAAGCATTTTACAACTATTTTGTGTAGGAGGGTACTATGAATTAGGAAGTTATCTTGCCCAACATTCAGAAGTCCAATGTAAGCATTCTGTGTGTACTTTAGTGATACATATTTTTCAGCTGTAATGATTGAGGTGGTTGTTTTGTGACCCTTATATATATACAAACTTGAAGTCCTTTTTGTTAGAAGGCAGAGTATAAGTTAAAAGCTGATACCACCTGTTCACAGGTTGAGAATTCCGTACATTATCAAAGTCAACTCTCGCAATGTTAATATAAAATTAAAATTATTCCCATTTTTACAGAAGTGAAAACTGAGGTTCCCACTACAAGGTCATGCAACTAGTAAGTGATGAAATCTGGATTTGAATTGGAATCTTCCATAGTGCTTAAACTCTGAAAACTGAGGTTCCCATTACTAGGTCATGCAACTAGTAAATGATGAAATCTGGATTTGAATTTGGATCTTCCATAGTGCTTAAACTCTACCATGCTATGTTGGTACTCAGAAAGACGTCTTCTATATAGTACTATATAATGTGGTGATTTGAAAAATATTGGACCTTAGAGTAGAATGTTTTTAGTAAAATCTGAAATGATTTATAAGCCATATGAGTTTGGGTAAGTTTCTCGGTCTCTCTATACCTCAATTTTTTTCATCTGTGAAACGGGAATAATAATAATATTATAACAGGATTAAGTATATTAATACATTCACAGCATCCAGACAGTGCTTGGCATATAGTAATAAGTACTAAATAAATGACACCTACTATTATTACTGGAATGTGACTAAAGCCATTATTCTTATAAAGAGACCACTGCTCAGAGAAACCATATGTCTGGTTGCCCTTGACTGACTTGAAGAAAGGCAGGGACTATATATCAGTGCATGCAAAATGAGAAAGAAATTGCTCTTTACCATTCCAAAGTTAAGTGAAGCACCAAGGCCTACTACAATGACCCGATGATGTCTACTACTCCAAGGCAAGACAGAATTGAATATTGTACAAACTCTGTTACTCTGCCCTGGTGTCCCATTTGTGGAGAGTCATTGTAATGTATGGACAGAATTGAACCCTTCTGTAACACTCAAAATTTTAGTAGCTAGTGGAAAAAGGGAAAGCATGAAGGCTTTGGATTTCTTTTCTATCACAGCCATAAACAACCCCAATGGCCTCCCACGAAGTTGATAATGCAGAGCTGGGGTCAGCCTCTGCCCATGGTACCCCAGGCAGTGAGGCGGGACCAGAAGAGCTGAATACTTCTGTCTACCAGCCCATAGATGGATCACCAGATTATCAGAAAGCAAAATTACAAGTTCTTGGGGTAAGTCAGCCTTAGTTTAAACACTGATTTAAGAGGGAAGAAAATAAATACAGTTGACCTGTGAATAACGTGCGTTTGAACTGTGAGGATTCCCTTACATGTGGATTTCTTCCACCTCTGTTTGCCATCCCGAGACAGCAAGAACAACCCCTGCTCTCCCTCTTCTTCCTCAGTCTATTCAACGTGAAGAGGATGAGGATGAAGACCTTTATGATAATCTACTTCCACTTAATGAATAGTAAATACATTTTCTCTTTCTTATGATTTCCTTAACGTTTTTAGTTTCTCTAGCTTATTGTATATAATATGTCACATACAAAATATGTGATAATCGACTGTTTATATTAATAGTAAGACTTCTGGTCAACAGTAGGCTATTAGTAGTTAAGTTTTTGGGAAGTCATAAGTTTTACGTGGATTTACCACCATGAAAGGGTGGGCATTCCAAACCCCAATGTTGTTCAAGAGCCAACTGTATCATGTAGAAAACCTTGCTTATGCTGAGAAGGAGGAAATTCTGAGTTATTTATCACTGACTTAATAATGATTGGAGAAAAGACAGGGACTTCTTATAGATCTGGGGAGCAGAAATGCAAAGGCATTTTCTCATGGTAGAAAACATCAAACCTTGGAGAACAGATTCCAAGACCCTTCATTTTTTGTTTTGTGCCTTTTGACCAGCCATTTGAGGAGGCTGAGCTCTATGAAGCTTATATTCTATATTTTAAATTTAAAAATTGGGTTGAGAGAAGGGTTAAAAATTGGGTTGAGAGAAAGGCTGAGTAGGATATGGCTTATCCTCTGTCTGCCTTCATCATATTATGATGCAAAAGCATGCTGGGAAGAGACTTTGACTCCATCTACCTTACCAATCATGTCTGTTTTACTGTCCTGCCACTTTCTGAGAGGAGTTCGTGAGAATGAACAGAAATGTGGGGGAGAGGTGAAGACAAAATGCTGCCACTGGAATTGGTGTGGATAGCGTGGAATAAAAAACTCTTTCAGATAAGCTCTCGTTCTGTTAATTTAGGCTTGACACTTTAACCATTTCAAGCACCGACATCTCCTTTCTGAGGAAAATTAAAATGGCCTGTTTTCAGTGTCCACTTTAGTATATGACTGTTACGCCTTTTTCCCCTTTCTTCTTTCAGGCCATCCAGATCCTGAATGCAGCAATGATTCTGGCTTTGGGTGTCTTTCTGGGTTCCTTGCAATACCCATACCACTTCCAAAAGCACTTCTTTTTCTTCACCTTCTACACAGGCTACCCGATTTGGGGTGCTGTGTTTGTGAGTATTCGTACTCCCCTGGCTATATGTTATTTCTTAGATACCACTGCTGGAGATGTGTTTGATGACAAAAATATTGTTTGTAGGTTATTGGAAGGTTGCATGCTGTGGTTTTGATTTGCAATTCTTGATATAAACAATTAGAGACGATAAACTCTTTTTTATTTTTTAATTTAATTAATTACTTAATTAATTTATTTTTTGAGACAAAGTCTCGATCTGCCATCCAGGCTGGAGTGCAGTGGCATGATCTCTGCCCACTGAAACCCTCTGCCTCCCCAGTTCAAGTGATTCTCTTGCCTCAGTCTCCTGAGTGGCTGGGATTACAGGCATGCACCACCATGCCCACCTAATTTTTGTTTTTGTATTTTTAGTAGAGACAGGGATTCACCATGTTTTCCAGGATGGTCTCGAACTCCTGACCACAAGTGGTCCTCCCAGCTTGGCCTCCCAAAATGCTGGAATTGCCAGGCATGAGCCCTGATGCCAGGCCAAAAATCTCTTTCTGATTAAGAGAAACCACATTTGCCAAGTACAAATGAAGTCCTAAAAATTATCTTATATATAACTATATGTTACATTTATAGATACTTAAAAAATTGAATGAAAAATGGGTATTGATGAATTGCCTTGTGGTACAGCAGAGAGTCCTGGCTTGAGAGTTAAGAAATTTGTCTGCTGATTACTGTCTGAAAGTCAGAAGAATCATTTCCATTATCTGGGTCAACATTCAATCAGAAGAAATAGGGGTGATTTTAAAATGTATTCATTCAGTTTTGATTATTTATTACTTCCCTGATGGTTCATTTTTAAAAAGTGAATGATATGTTTGTTGGCCATTTGTATATCTTCTTTTGAGAATTGTCTATTCATGTCCTTAGCCCATTTTTTGATGGGATTGTTTGTTTATTTCTTGGTGATTTGTTTGGGTTCATTGCAGATTCTGGATATTAGTCCTTTGTTAGATGTATAGATTGTGAAGATTTTCTCCCACTCTATGGGTTGTCTGTTTACTCTGCTGACTGTTCCTTTTGCCGTGCAAAAGCTCCTTAGTTTAATTAGGTCCCAGCTATTTATCTTTGATTTTATTGCATTTGTTTTTGGCTTCTTCGTCATTAAATCCTTGCATAAGCCATTATCCTAAGTGAAGTAACTCAGGAGTGGAAAATCAAACATCATATGTTCTCACTTATAAGCGGGAGCTAAGCTATGAGGATGCAAAGGCATAAGAATGACACAATGGACTTTGGGGACTCAGGGGGAAAGGTGGGAAGGAGGTGAGGGATAAAAGGCTACAAATTGTGTGCAGTGTATACTGTTTGGGTGATGGGTGCACCAAAATCTCACAAATTACCACTAAAGAACTTATCCATGTAACCAAACACCACCTGTTCCCCAATAACGTATGGAAATAAAAAAAATTTAAAAAATAAAATGAATAAAACTAATTGCATGGAAAGACTAAATAAATAAATAAATAAATAAATAAATAAATAAAGTGAGCAGCATCAAGTACAATTCTGTGTCCTAGGATGTGAATTTAAAAGGGAGGTTTGTATGACTATTGCTGGATATCTGCTAATTGAGGGAGGACCAAGAAGAAAATGGTTGAGACTTAATATTCCTTTATCTGTTTTCCTTCCTATTTTCAAACAGTTCTGTAGTTCAGGAACCTTGTCTGTTGTAGCAGGGATAAAACCCACAAGAACATGGGTAAGTAGCACTTCCTCTTTTTCTATGATCAGAGGAGTAGAAATATATTATTCATAAACAGTAGGACAGTAAGTGTCCATGAATACAACTGAGACACTGAGTATCATTTAATGCACAAAATATTAGTTTTCTTAACGTGTTCAGATGGTAGGTCAGCAGATCACATACATTGTGAGGATGCATTCCTGGGATGCTTGCTCTTAATATTGGTGAACTTGAAGCTTAGAAAAAGTCTTCTTGATTTTTATGTGTTGTCAAGTTTGACCAATTCTAATTATTTGGAAGTAAGAACTCCCACCACTAACTAGTTTGACAACTGAAAGTCCAAACTTCTATTCTAAACAACTGCTAAGTCTCTATGATGTGTTCTTAGTGAGTCACGTAGCCACTGATACTCCACTTTCCTACTCCATTCATTCACTTTCCCTCCTCCATGGATAGCTATTTTACCATTTTATTGTATCCTCAAACACCAATCCCACTTCTGTCATCCTTACTCTCTGCTGATGATTTTTCTGTCTCTTCTGAGAAAACTGAAGCCATTAGAAGGGAATTTTCAGACCTCCACTACTAATGGACTAGATCTGTACCAATGTATTTTTTTCTTCTAGCCTCTTACCATAGGAAAATTTTGTGATTTTCTTTAAAGCTGATCTCCCTACTTGAGTATAAGATTCCATTCTTTTTTTCCCCACACAAGTGCATCACTTTAATTTTTGTCTCTCTGCTATATATATATTTTTCGAGTCTCACTCTGTCACCCAGATGGGAGTGCAGTGGTGTGGTCACAGCTCACTACAGCCTCCACCTTCCAGGGCTCATGCAATCCTCCCACCTCAGCCTCTCACATAGCTGGGACTACAGGTGTGTGCCACCATCCCTGGCTAATTTTTGTCTTTTTTTTTTTTTTTTTTGTAGAGACAGGATCTTGCCATGTTGCCCAGGCTGGTCTCAAAATCTTGGGCTCAAGCAGTCCTCCTGCCTCAGCCTCCCAAAAGGCTGGGGTTACAGGCGTGAGTTACCTTGCCCCATCTCTAATCAGCATGTAAACATCCAGTTACTGTTCTCAACTTAAAAACAAAACAAAACAAAACAAAACAAGAAAACCTTGACATTATTTCTCCCTGCTAGGGACAGGCACAATTTGTATTTTCCTTCTGTAGCTAAACTCCTTCAAAGGAATCATCATGTTCTTTCTCTGATTTCCATCTACCGGTTTGAATCAAACCCACTTCAATAAGACTTTATTTTATTCCCTACTATCCTTCTGTAACTGCTGTCTTTAAGATCACTGAAAACTTCCACCCTGCTAAAACAACGGTCAACTCTTGTTCCTCATCTAACTTAAGCTATGAGTAGCATTTAGCATAGTTAGTCGCCCACTCCTCCTTCCAGGAATTTCCTCACTTGGCTTCCAGCATACATTGCTTGGCTGGTTTTCCTCCCATCTTTTGCTTTCTCCATCTCAGTCTCCTTTCCTGGTTCCTCTCCTTGTCTCTGACCTTTTAATGTTCTGGTGCCCCAGAGCTGAATTCTTTGCCACCTGCTCTTCTCAATCTATACGTACTTCTTCTGTGATCTCACACATTCTTATGACTTCAAGTAATATCTGTATGCCCACAACCCTGAAATAAGTATTTCCAGCCCAGGTGTCTCTCCTGATCATCAGACTGGCATGTAAAGATCCAAAGCTCAACTCCCAGTCTTCTTCCTCAAACCTTCTCCTCATGTCAGCTGATGGGAATGTCATCCTTCCAGATTCCCAGACCAAACACCTTAGAATAACCAAGAGTCTTCTTTCTTTCACAATCCTGAATCCTATTTATCAGCAAATAATGTTGGCTCTACTTTCAAGCTATTATTATATCCAGTTTTGACCTTTTCTTATCTTTCTATTGATGACATTTCATCCAATCCACCTTGTCTCTCCTAATTGGGCTTCTAGCTTTTATCGTTGAACTTCTCTTTGCCTTGCTAGAAACAGTGATCCCTTGAAACCATAAAGCCAAGTATATCATTTATTTGCTCCAAATCCTTCATTGGCTTTGTATTTTTCTTAGAGTTAGAAACAAGTTCCTTTTCATGATCTGCAGAGCCCCACATGATTTGGCTCTCTGTTAACTTTCCTTCTTCTTCATTTCCTAGTATTGACTACGTGCCTCCAACGCCCTTGACCCCTTTGCTGCCCCAGAAGATTCTGGCCTCAGGATTTTGAGTGTTTCCCTAATTTCAAGGATATTCCCCCAGATATCCTCCTGGCTGGCACCCACAGCTCTTTCATGCCTCTCCCCAGTGTCATTTCTATTTAATATCATGAACCCCCACTCCTCTCTTTGGATTCCCAGATTCTCCTTATCCCATTCTGTTAGCCCCTAGTACTTAATCACTTTCAAAAATATTATGTAATTTACCTATAGTATGTTTACTTTTTTCTTTGTTTTTATTGCTAGAATATAAGCTCCATGGAGGGTGGGGGACAGAAATCTTTCTTTGGTCATTGATGTTAGCCTCGCATCTAGGATATCAGTGGGTGTGTAAACAATATTCAATCAATGTTTGTTTCAATGAATTGTTGCCAAAGGAATGAAGTACGTGCTGCATATATTAATTGAAAATTCTTATTCTTTTTTAGATACAGAACAGTTTTGGAATGAACATTGCCAGTGCTACAATTGCACTAGTGGGGACTGCTTTTCTCTCACTAAATATAGCAGTTAATATCCAGTCATTAAGGAGTTGTCACTCTTCATCAGAGTCACCGGACCTATGCAATTACATGGGCTCCATATCAAATGTATGTTTCTGAAAAATATGTATAAGTATAAAATATTTCAAACAATCCAGGATGTACAGAAAAATAATATATCAGGTACCAATGTGCCATAATTTGAATCTTTTTTTTTTTTTTTTTTGAGACGGAGTCTCGCTCTGTCGCCCAGGCTGGAGTACAGTGGAGTGATCTCGGCTCACTGCAAGCTCCGCCCTCCTGGGTTCACAGCATTCTCCTGCCTCAGCCTCCCGAGTAGCTGGGACTACAGGCGGCCACCACCATGCCCAGCTAATTTTTTGTATTTTTTTAGTAGAGACGGGGTTTTACCGTGTTAACCAGGATGGTCTTGATCTCCTGACCTCGTGACCCGCCCGCCTCGGCCTCCCAAAGTGCTGGGATAAGGGGCGTGAGCCACCGCGCCCATCCCATAATTTGAATCTTGGGTCTGTCGCCTATTTGCTTTATAATGAAGGGCAAATTAGATAATCCCTTGAATTTTCTCATTTTTGAAATGAGGATAACAATAGTACCCGTCTCATAGGATTTATGTGAGTATTTAAAAAGTTAACATATGATAAGCAATTAAAACAAGGCTTAGCATATCATGATACACAATTATTATTACCACAACTACTACTATTACACTCCCCAGAGAGATTTTTTTTTAAGTTTCATTTCACCGGGCGCGGTGGCTCACGCCTGTAATCCCAGAACTTTGGGAGGCCGAGGCAGGCGGATCACGAGGTCGAGAGATCGAGACCACCCTGGCCAACATGGTGAAACCCCGTCTCTACTAAAAATACAAAAAAAAAAATTAGCCGGGCATGGTGGCAGGCGCCTGTAATCCCAGCTACTTGGGAGGCTGAGGCAGGAGAATCACTTGAACCCGGGAGGCGGAGGTTGCGGTGAGCCGAGATTGCGCCATTGCACTCCAGCCTGGGCAAAAAGAGTGAAACTGTCTCAAAAAATAAAAAAATAAAAAAATAAAGTTTCATTTCATATCTCCTTGCTTAATAAAACAAACTTGAGAGATTTACAACTTTCTCTGCAATCTGGAATGTTCAAATAATGACTTGAAGTTTTGAAGGACTGCGCTTTAGAATGAAATTAGCATGGTGTTTTCAAAGGAAAGCTCTTTAATAACCTTACCTTTTTTTTTTTTTTTTTTTGAGACGGAGTCTTGCTCTGTCACCCAGGCTGGAGTGCAGTGGCGCCATCTCGGCTCACTGCAAGCTCCGCCTCCTGGGTTCACGCCATTCTCCTGCCTCAGCCTCCCGAGTAGCTGGGACTACAGGCGCCCGCCACCACGCCCGGCTAATTGTTTTTTTTTTTTTTTTGTATTTTTAGTAGAGACGGGGTTTCACTGTGTTAGCCAGGATGGTCTCGATCTCCTGACCTCGTGATCCGCCCGCCTCTGCCTCCCAAAGTGCTGGGATTACAGGCATGAGCCACCGCGCCCAGCCAACCTTACCAATTTTTTAAAAATTTGTGTTCAGGTACTCTACCTCTTCTGAACTCTACTTAGAAATTAATATTTTCCTTTGGAATTATCCATTTCATCCCAGTGATCTATGAACTGTTAATTACAGACTCACTCCTAAGCTTCCTGTTTTCTTTTTATTATTATTATTATACTTGAAGTTCTAGGGTACACGTGCACAACGTTCAGGTTTGTTACATATGTATACATGTGTCGTGTTTGTTTGCTGCATCTATTAACATGTCATTTACATTAGGTATTTCTGTTAATGCTATCCCTCCCCCAGCCCCCCACCCCACGACAGGCCCTGGTGTGTGATGTTCCCCGCCTTGCGTCCAAGTGTTCTCATTGTTCAGTTCCCACCTATGGGTGAGACACTACTTATGGAAGTTTGTGTTCTCATTTTCTTTATTACATTTTTAATGATCTAAATTTATATTTGTCGGAGCCTGATTTTTCTGTGAATTTGGAGGTATTTTTCCTCCAGGGATATATTGTATTGGTTGCTTCTAGGTGCCTCAGTAATAATAGTAGAATCATTAGCCCAACAATTTTATTTTTTGTTTATATTAGCTCAGTGTTTTAGTTTCTAGGGATAATGTAAATGCCTAAACCCCTATGAAGTGCTAATGAAATTGTGGAAGGGCCATTTTTGTTCATTTTTCTAAACTGCCTACTCCTCTCCTTAGTTTACTACTATTCAGATTGGAAGATGTTAGTGATAATGTCAGAATTTTGTTTCTACAGCTTCTTCCCCCTGTAGCTACTTCACATGCGTTGACATAGAAATGTGACACATCTTTCTCATTAGAGAAAATGTTTTCATGCTTTTAGATTGAGATACTATCTCTTCTACAGTGTTATATGTGTCTCTGTCTTTAATTTATGGTTCACTTTGTTCCACTTTACGGGAGGGAGATGTTGTAGTCTGGTTTCCTGCTGACATTTTTTTTTTTACCTCTGGATGTTGCCACTGGGTTTGATATAAGGCATCATATCCCCTAGGGCATGGTGTCTCTACTGCTGATTCTCACCTTGCTGGAATTATGCGTAACCATCTCTACCATAGCCATGTGGTGCAATGCAAACTGCTGTAATTCAAGAGAGGTGAGATTTTTCAAATGATTAATCATTCACATGATCTCAAAGCCTCCCTGTAGGGTTTGAAGTTGTTTCTGATGCTTAGAAATAAACCTTTATGTGGTAATGATTTGTGGAGTTCCTGGAATTAGAGATTGTATGAATGTTAGAGATGGAATGAAGGGTAGAAAAGAATTTGGATGTGAACATGCAAGAGGAAATACTGTACTTGATATATAAGAGCATACTTTCTTATACAGCTGTAATTAAGTTTTATTATTTTCTTATAACTTGTAACTTTCTAATTGTATGACCTAGGAAAAATTAATAATTCTTTCTAAATTTTAGATATATTAACTGTAAAATGAAAATAATATTTTCATTCTCTTCTAATGTTTGTTGTGAGTACTGTGTATATAATCTTTATGGCATTTGGCACAGTAAACATCAATGAATGGATTTTATTGTTGATGATTATGATGATAACAGGAAGGGATGGGAGGAGAAGGAGATAATGATCCTGTTCTTGGACATTAATGTTGTTTTATTTTCTAGGAAATTTCCTCACCTCCCAATTCTGTGTAATCAAGAATACCTCCTTAATTCTGAGAGCATGAATATTTGACCTTAAATCTCCAGTGACTCAGAGCTTCACCCACAAACTCAGGAGAACATAAGCCTGCTCGTAAAGCTCAATCCTTCTATCATGGCACCAATCACAAGAACCTTGGACGTTTGACTGACTCTATCCTTTCTCTCCTAACTATAAATCCTATTTGTGTGTCGTGGGTATGGAAGGACAGATATATTTCTTTAGGCATTCTTGGATATCTGTAACTTCTATGATCATTACTCCAAAGTTGTTTCCAGAAATTGGTTCTATTTCTTCTTATCCACCTACTCCATTGCTTTATGAGGTTTAAGGAAGGAAGGCGGTATAATCCCTATTCAATATATTTTTTCTAAAATCCAACTTCTGACCGCCCAGTAGGAAGAAAAATGAGACATTTTTTCCATTACAGAGAAATGCTTCTTGACTTTAACATCAGCATTATAAAAAGTGTCAAATAAAAAATTACCATCATTATCATTAAAATAAATTTTCACTGTATTTGAGATGGGAGGGTTAAGGCTCAGGGATTTTATTTCAGTGAACTGCTGGAACTCACACATGCCCTGATATGTAAATGATGATTTATGTTGGCGAGTCTGAGAGCAAGCCCAAATGTGTTCTTCAAAGGACAATGGGAAACTGTAAAGTAGAGAACTAAAGAATAAGGCCTTTAGAATCTGACACATCTGGGTTCAAATTCTGAAACTGTCACTTATTACCTGTATGAACATGGGCAAATTATCTAATCTCTCTGATCTATTTTTCCTCATCTGTAAAATAGGTGTAATAATAACAACTACTTTGTCGGTTGCTCTGAGGGTTAAATGAAAATAAAAAGAAAATGTGAAACAGCACCACAGGTACTTGACAATGATGTTGCTGTTGTTGTTGGTCTTGCTGTTGCTGGTGAAAGCTAAGGTGGGATTGTGGTCAGATGTGCTGGAGAGATACAGTGGAAAACTTACTTACACTTCCATTGTGGCTCCTCGTATAACCTCCAACAACTCCAATAGCCATCTTTTCGAGGTGGCAATGTGGCGTGAAAACTTCCCTCAGTTCCTCGTTTATAAATCTGCTAAAGCACTTATATTTCTTATTCATAAATATCCAAGAAAAATAAAATTTATGAATAAGAAATATAAGCACTTATTGTGTCCATAAATTTATACCAATAATTTATTCTTAGTTACGTGTATATCGTATGTGCAAAGGTTCTTTTCTAACACTTGTATCCTACTTATATAATAATTATTTCTTTATTTTTTAATCCATTCTGCAGCGGGATAATTAAGGAACCAGAGAGACTGAGGGGTTGAGGAGGAATTATTTAATTATTTAGGTGCACCGACCCAGTCGGATTAACATCCAAAGGACTGAGCCCCAAACAAAGAGTCCGGTTACCTTTTAAGCATTTTGTGCAGCGGGGGACGATCTGTGCAGGGGGAAGCATATTACAGAAGTGAGAAACAAAGACAGTTATTCAATTAAGACATGTATTACATTATTTCTTATTTTTTCAAGGAAAAACATGTTTTACGACTTGAGTTTATCTGCCTAGTGACCTTGCACCTGCACAGCTAGAGAAATAGGGTCTTCACAATGCCTGGGAAAGGGAGAGATAAGGCTCACTAGCCGCAGAAAAACAGGCAGTTAATTTTAAAGGACTCCAGCTCTTTCTCTTCTTCAGGGGGAATTGGGTTTCTCTTACATACAACCGAGCTTTTGCTTACACATTCTTTAATTTCTTTTAATTCCTGTTCTAATTCAACAATCATTTAGGGAGTGCCTACAGTGTGTCACGTATTGTGCTAAGAGCTTGGCATATAATAGAGAATGATGCAAAATCTCTGCTCTTAAGTTGCTTGTAGTGGGAGATACAGACCCCTAGAAACACACAAGGGCTCTCATAGGAAGAGTATAGGAATCTTGAGAAGCACGTAGGACGAGCTTCTAACCCAGATTAGAAGACATGTCAGTGATAATTTTTTAGAACACTTTTCTTCTCAACTGAGTTCTTAAAGATAACTGAGCGTTAACATGATGGAAGGCAAATGGAAGAAAAGAGGATACATTAAAAGCCTTTAAGTTAGAAAAAATTTTGAATATTCAAAGAATAAACTAGAGACTTTAGTGGGTCTAACTTCAGTGTATAATGGGCAGATGGAAAAATAAAAGTTTGGAGAGAGGTGTACATCACAAGAGATTATAAAATGACAGCACTGTGAGTTTTTTTTTATTTTTTTTATTTTTTATTTTTTATTTATTTATTTTTTTATTGATCATTCTTGGGTGTTTCTCACAGAGGGGGATTTGGCAGGGTCATAGGACAATAGTGGAGGGAAGGTCAGCAGATAAACAAGTGAACAAAGGTCTCTGGTTTTCCTAGGCAGAGGACCCTGCGGCCTTCCGAGGTGTTTGTGTCCCTGGGTACTTGAGATTAGGGAGTGGTGATGACTCTTAACGAGCATGCTGCCTTCAAGCATCTGTTTAACAAAGCACATCTTGCACCGCCCTTAATCCATTGAACCCTGAGTGGACACAGCACATGTTTCAGAGAGCACAGGGTTGGGGGTAAGGTCATAGATCAACAGCATCCCAAGGCAGAAAAATTTTTCTTAGTACAGAACAAAATGAAGTCTCCCATGTCTACTTCTTTCTACACAGACACAGCAACAATCTGATTTCTCTATCTTTTCCCCACCTTTCCCCCTTTTCTATTCCACAAAACTGCCATCGTCATCATGGCCCGTTCTCAATGCGCTGTTGGGTACACCTCCCAGACAGGTTGGTGGCCGGGCAGAGGGGCTCCTCACTTCCCAGAAGGGGCGGCCGGGCAGAGGCGCCCCCCACCTCCCTCCCAGACGGGGCGGCTGGCCTGGTGGGGGCTGACCCCCCACCTCCCTCCTGGATGGGGCGGCTGGCCGGGCGGGGGCTGCCCCCACCTCCCTCCCGGACAGGGTGGCTGCCAGGCAGAGACGCTCCTCACTTCCCAGATGGGGCGGCTGCCAGGCGGAGGGGCTCCTCACTTCTCAGATGGGGCGGCCGGGCAGAGACGCTCCTCACCTCCCAGACGGGGTCGCAGCCGGGCAGAGGCGCTCCTCACGTCCCAGACGGGGCGGCGGGGCAGAGGCGCTCCCCACATCTCAGACGATGGGCGGCCGGGCAGAGACACTCCTCACTTCCTAGACAGGATGTCGGCTGGGAAGAGGCGCTCCTCACTTCCCAGACTGGGCCGCGGGGCAGAGGGGCTCCTTACATCCCAGACGGGGTGGCAGCCGGGCAGAGGCTGCAATCTTGGCACTTTGGGAGGCCAAGGCAGGCGGCTGGGAGGTGGAGGTTGTAGCGAGCTGAGATCACGCCACTGCACTCCAGCCTGGGCAACATTGAGCACTGAGTGAACTAGACTCCGTCTGCAATCCTGGCACCCCAGGAGGCCGAGGCTGGCGGATCACTCGCAGTTAGGAGCTGGAGACCAGCCCGGCCAACACAGCGAAACCGCGTCTCCACCAAAAAAAATATGAAAACCAGTCAGGCATGGCGGCGCGTGCCTGCAATCGCAGGCACTCGGCAGGCTGAGGCAGGAGAATCAGGCAGGGAGGTTGCAGTGAGCCGAGATGGCAGCAGTACAGTCCAGCTTTGGCTCGGCATCAGAGGGAGACCGTGGAAAGAGAGGGAGAGAGAGACCGTGGGGAGCGGCAGCGGGAGCAGGAGCGGGAGAGGGAGAGGGAGAGGGCAGCACTATGAGTTTTAAGAAGCAATTGAAAATGTATGCAGGTTCCAGGCACGGTGGCTCACACCTGTGATCCCAGCACTTTGGGAGGCCAAGATGGGTGGATCACTTGAGATCAGGAGTTTGAGACCAGCTTGGCCAACATGGTGAAATCCCGTCTCTACTAAAAATACACAAATTGGTCATGTGTGGTGGCATGTGCCTGTAATCCCAGCTACTCAGGAGGCTGAGGCAGGAGAATCGCTTGAACCTGGGAGGCAGAGGTTGCAGTGAACTGAGATTGCGCCACTGCACTCCAGCCTGGGCAACAGAGTGAGACTCCATCTAAAAAAAAAAAAAAGAAAGAAATTTACACAGGAATGTCCTGAGACTGGCTTATATTGGTTTGTGGAAGTCAATTTTAAATTTTCAGGGAGCACAGGTCAACATAGTTTGGGTAGCCTGAAGTTAGCTCTGATGGGAGGATTTACACCACAGAGATGGGGAAAAACCACAAGTTTTAGGATTCATGTGTAGATTTTGCCTGCAGCAAATACCATTGTGTTGTTCAAAAGGTGATTTTGTTTCCCTCATTTCTCCTTTATTTATCATTTAAATGTTTCAGTAAGGAAGATTTGTATCTTCTTTCATTTGTTTATTAAAGTATTTATATTGTTATGTACTCATGAATATTTATATTATTCTTTTGGTTATGAGCAATATTTGTTTTGTTTCTCAAAGTTTTCCAGCTTTGGCCATTGGGAGCTGAGTTGGCTCCTGTGTAGTTTTGACATGCTGCACCCCACTCTCCCCTTTTTAGCACTTCCATATTTTCTGGAACTACAGGATTCTTCATGTTATTTCACCTGCTACAGACCTAGAATTTTCATTTCTTCAGGGAGCCCTGGTTTCTTTACTTAGAGAACTATATTTAGAAAACCTGACCTGGAGGCAAGATGTGCTCATTGCTACTGTATGTCACTGCTTTTAGCCCCCCTCAGGAGACAAAGCTAAGAAATATATGCATGTACACTGACCCATGCATGCACATGTCTATATTTATTATCATATGTATGTATCTATCCATCTCTCTCTCTCCATCATGAATTCCTACTGATAAATTCCACTCAAATATGGCCACACAGGGTCCATTCTAGCAACCTCTCAACCTTGCTTATTTATAACCTGTTTTCTGAATATAATAAATCTGGCAACAATTTCCACAATTTATTTCCTTACCTGTTTAACATTAGTATACATGTAAATTCATTTCAGAATTGCTAACCAGTATTTTTGTGAGAAATAAATTTACCACCTAGAGTACACTGTTTGTGTACAGTTCTTTTTATCCTTAGCTTTAAGGTATGCAGTCAGAGTAGTTGTTTTTTATAGGTACTTAGGCCAGCTCCTTTTAACCTCTACCTCTTTCGGTGAGGTTGGCATGCATTTCTAATGTTGTTTAATTTATTTTTCACAGTTTAAATTTCATCCTGCATTCCATAGGTATCTTGGTGAATTTTTATTTTAAACTAGCCTACAGTAAAGTTCATTATTTGCAAAACATCATTTTATCAGTTTTAACGAAACATAGAGTTATGTATCCATAGTACCATACAAAGCAGTTTCATCATCCTAAGAGTTCCCTTCTGTAATCTCTTGAAAATCAACTTCTCTCCCCACCCCAAACTCTGGTAACAACCAAACTATTTTCCATATTAATAGATATATAGATATAGTCTTTTCATATGATATTCTGGAAAATACTATATCTATATATCTATTCATATGGAGGCAGTAGGGTGAGAAGGAGTGAAGGCAGAGATCCAGTCATAAAGCAATGGGTGTTATGGAATGGATTTCAGAGGATGGTGATATTACTAATAATGCCAATTTGAAAGGTCACTATGGCTGCATTATGAATAACAGCTTTGAGAGGGCTGGTACATAAGTGAATATGTAAAAAAGAAACCCAGTGGTACATAAGTGAATATGTAAAAAAGAAACCCAGTAAGAATGGTATTAACAGTGTAAAGTTGGACAATAATATGAGCTTGGATAACTGCTGTGCCAGTGAAAATCAAACAAGTATACAAAATCAAGATAGTTTTAGAATTGGGAAATTTGAGACAAAAATAATGGTGTTAGGAAAGCTAGATATTTACATGGAACAAAGTGATATTGGACCCTTATACCATATACACAAATTAACTCAAAATGAATTAGAGACTTCAGTGTAAGATCTGAGATGATGAAAATTCTAAAAGAAAACATAGGGAAATCTCCTTGACATTGGTCTTGGCAATAATTTTTTTGATAAGACACCAAAAGCACAGGTGACAAAAGCAAAAATAAATAACTGGAGTCACATCAAACTAAAAAGTTTCTGCATAGCAAAGGAAACTAACAAAATGAAAAGTCAATATATAGAATGGGAGAAAACATTTGCAAGCCATTTATCTGATAAGAGGTAAATATGCAATATATGTAAGGAACTCCTACAATTCAGAAGAAAAAAACCACATAACCTTATTTTTAAAAATGGGCAAATGACCTGAATAGACATTTTTCTAAAGAAGACATACATGTGGCCAACAGCTACATAAAACATGCTCAACATTACTAATTATTAGAGAAATACAAATCAAAACCATAATGAGCTATCACCTCACAGCTGTTAGAAGAGCTATTATCAAAAAGACCAAAGATAGCAAGTGTTGGCCAGGGTATAGAGAAAAGCGAACCCTTGTGCACTGTTGGTAGGAACATAAATTGGTACAGCCATAGGGAAAACTGTGTGGGGGTTTCTCAAAAAGTTAAAAATAGGTCCAGCAATCCCACTTCTGGTATATATCCAAAGGAATTGAAATCAGTGTGCTGAAGAGATATCTGTACTCCCACGTTCATTGCAGCAATATTTACAATGGCCAAGATATGGAAACATCCTAACTATCCATGAACAGATAAATGGATAAAGAAAATGTGGAATACATATATAATGGAATATATTTTTTAGTGATAAAAAGGAAGGAAATCCTTCCATTTGTGATAACACGAATGGAACTGGAAGTCATTATTCTAAGTGAAATAAGCTAGGCACAGAAAAACAAATACTGTATGAGCTCATTTATTTGTGAAACCCAAAAAATTTGAACTAATAAAAGCAGAGAGTAGAACGATGATTATCAGAGACTGGGGAGCAGGGGACGGGAGGGAAGTTTGGCTAAAGGGTACAAAACTTCAGTTACAAAATAAACAGGAGCTTTCGAGCAGCGAGATCCAGGGACAGAATCTCAGCTTCCTGCTGCGGCTGCTGCTGCCTAGAGACTGCTGAACCCCTGTCCGTCTACTTCCACCTACTCCGGACACAGAGCATCCAGTCATGGATAAAAATGAACTGGTTCAGAAGGACAAACTGGCGAGTAAGCTGAGCAATATGATGACACTGCAGTCTGCATGAAGTCCCTAACTGAGAAAGAAGGCGAATTATCCAATGAGGAGAGGAATCGTCTTTCAGTTCCTTATAAAAATGTTGTAGGAGTCTGTAGGTCATCTTGCAGGGTCATCTCAAGTATTGAGCAAAAGACAGAAGGTGCTGAGAAAAAAACAGCAGATGCCTTGAGAATACAGAGAGAAAATTGAGAAGGAGCTAAGAGATATCTACAATGATGTGCTATGTACTATGTCTTTTGGAAAAGTTCTTGATCTCCAATGCCTCAGAAGCAGAGAGCAAAATATTCTATTTAAAAATGAAGGAGGGCTGGGTGTGGTGGCTCACGCCTGTAATCCCGGCCCTCTGGGAGGCCGAGGCGGGCGGATCACGAGATCACAAGTTCGAGACCAGCTTGGCCAATATGGTGAAACCCCATCTCTACTAAAAATACAAACATTAACCGGTCGTGGTGGCATGCGCCTGTAGTCTGAGCTACTCAGGAGGTTGAGGCAGAAGCATCGTTTGAACCCGGGAGGTGGAGGTTGCAGTGAGCCGAGACCGCGCCATTGCACTCCAGCCTGGGGGAGGGAGCAATGCTCCATTTCAACAACAACAACAACAACAACAACAACAACAACAACAACAACAACAAAGAGACTACTATTTTTACTTGGCCTGAGGCTGCTGCTGGTTATGACACAAAAGGGATCCTAGATCAGTCACAACAAGCATACCAAGAAGCTTGTGAAATCACCAAAAAGGAAATGCAACCAACAGATCCTATCAGATTGGGTATGGCTCTAAACTTCTCTGTCTTCTATTATGAGCTTCTGAACTCCCCAGAGAAATCTCATTCACTTGTAAAGGCAGCTTTTGATGAAGCCCTTGCTGAACTTGATACATTAAGTGAAGAGTCATACAAAGATCGCCTGCTAATGCAGTTACTGAGAGACAACTTGACACTGTGGACATTGGATACTCAAGGAGATGAAACTGAAGCAAGAGGAAGAAAAAGTTAACCAGCCCTCCGACTTTTTTCTGCCTCATCCTAAAATTTACACAGTAGACCATTTGTCATCCATGCTGTCCCACAAATAGTTTTTTGTTTAGCTTTATGACAGGTTTATGTGTATTGCAGCAATATTCAGAATGGCCAAGATATGGAATTTCTATTTAAATTTTAATATTTCCCATGTGGTTTTTATGTTTAATATTAGAAGATTAGAGCCAGTCAACATTTAGCGAGTTATCTTTTTTCATCTTGAGATGGCAAATATGGGGATGTGGAATTTTTATACAAGTTATAAATGTTTGGCATAGGACTTTTGGTACATTGTGACTTCACAATGTCCAGAGTTAAAACTGCTTCCATGTCTGAGTGAAGAAAACTGCCTACATATTGATTTGTCCCCATGGGGAATAAAAGGGATAATTCGTTCCAGTCACAGATATAGTAACTGTGGGTACTTTAAGGTCTGGAGCACTTACAAGGCTGTGGTAGAAACAGATATGCTATGGATATCACATGTTAAACCACATATATCTGCAGAGTACTCAATCTCAACGTGCACACATTTGACTACAGCTGCAGAAGTGCTCCTTTAGACAGAGCTGAGACCAATTTACTCTGGATACGGGCAGAAGTGGTTTATATTCCATATTTGTAAAGTTCACTGCTGTTTGCTTTCAGTATTTTTGCTACGCTCATTATCTTTGTATTTAAATGTTTTAGGCAACCTAAGAACAAATGTAAAAGTAAAGATGCAGTAAAAGCGAATTGCTTGATAGTCATTACTTCATGTACATCAAGCAAATCAGTAAAATTAAAAAAAAAGTATTTAATTGTTAAAGTGTTTTTTCTTTTATGCCTTTTTTTGATACTTGCCTCACATGCATGTACTGTAAAAGTAGTTAACAGAGAAGTAACTGGACATGATGCACAGTTTTGTTTCATATCTTATGAAATTTTTATGGACAATCCAACATAATTGTTAATAACACATGTATTATGTTCATGTAAGTGGAATAAACGCTGTATAAATAGACTTTCCAGCTGCTTTCTCTATAGCTTTTCATGTAAATTAGTCTTTTGATTCTGAAATTTCTCTAAAGGAAATTGTCCATTTTTTGAAATTTATTCCTCATTCTCCCTTGGCAGTTAATGAAATTTTACCAAGTTTAAACACAAAATTTATCATAGCAAAAATACTACTAACATAACTACTGTTTGCAGCCATGCCCCATGTTCCCCTCTGCTCCTCCTCACCCTGAAAAAAATGAGTTTCTGTTTTTTCTAGTGGAAGGGGATTGATTGGAAAAAAGTAATATGTTCCTTTTTAAATTTTAATATACAGCATTTTCTAACTTAGGAAGCCACAATGTTCTTGGTCCATCATGACATTGGGTAGCATTAACTGTAAGTTTTGGGCTTCCAAATCACTTTTGATTTTTTAAGAATAATTTATAGATACTATTATAGGCTGCCTTTGATTTTGATCCTTTATTCTTTCTATTTTTCAGGAGCACAAGATTACCTTCCTTTTTTAGCCTTCTCTCTTGTCACCAACCATTCCTACTTGGTGGCCGTTTACTTGGAAAAAGGCCGCATGATCTGTCTGGCTCCACTCAGTGTTTAAAACACTCTGCTTCCTTTGCCTGCATCCCATAAACTATTTCCCTCATCCTATTTACTGCAACAAACCTCTCCTTAGTTTGTGTTTATCTCTCTTTAAACCTTATCTATCCTGAATATTCTGTCATTGTCTGCCTTTAAAATCCTTCCTCTTTCTCTTCCTCTATTCTCTAAATAATGATGGGGTAAAGTTATATCCAAAGTTCGCTCTACAGAATATTTTCTCAATACTCTGCAGAAAACACCAAACCAACCATTTTAAAAGAGGCATTTTTTTGTTTTGTTTTGTTTTTTTAGAATGTAATCTCCTCAAGAGCAGGGACAATGTTGTCTCTATGTTCTATTGTGCCTCACACATTGTAAATGCTCAATAAATATTGATGACAGGAGGCATTGAGTCCTGATTATAAGGGTGAGAAATTGAAATCCCAAACACTGTTTTGTTGCTTGTTTTATTATGACCTTAGATTAAGTTGGAAAATATTTGTCCTTTTGAATAACTGTCCCAAATATTACATTCAAATAAAAGTCCAATGGAGGAAAAAAAAAAGACTAACAAGTTCTGGGTTTCTAAGGTGATGTGGTTTGGCTGTGTCCCCACCCAAATCTCATCTTGAATTGTAGTTTCCATCATTCCCATGTGTCGTGGGAGGGACCCTGTGGGAGGTAATTGAATCATGGAGGGGGCTGTTCTCATGACACTGAGTGAGTTCTCACAAGATCTGACGGTTTTTTAAGGGGCTTTTCCCTCTTTCCTCAGCACTTCTCCTTCCTGCCCTCATGTGAAGAAGGACATATTTGCTTCCCCTTCTGCCATCATTGTAAGTTTCCCGAGGCCTTCCCAGCCATGTGGAACTGTGAGTCAATTAAACCTCCCTCCTTTATAAATTGCCCAGTCTCAGGCAGTTCTTTATAGGAGTGTGAGAACAGACTAATACATAAGGTATGACATGGGTGGTGATGGATATGTAAATTAATTTGATTATAGTAGTCATTATACAATGTATATGTTTATCAAGTCATTACATTGTACATCTTAAATATATACAACCTGTGTCAATTACATATTTAAAAGCTGGGGCAGGGGAATAAGCAAACATGGAAACCTCCAGCCAGCCACCCACATTATAACAAAAACAAAAATTGTGGCTAAATAGATACTTGCCATGGAAAATAGTAATGAAAATTTGTAATAGATCATAAATAATAGGACATGCCTGAAAGAGGAAAAGACAAATTGATATTTTATTCAAAATACATTATATTGAGGTATGTGAAAGGTACAGAAAAATGTACAAATAGTGTACAACTTCATAATTTTTTTATTACGGTAAGAACACTTAACATGAGTTAACACTTAACAGTCCTCTTAACAAATTTTTAAATGTACACTACATTATGGACTATAGGTGCAATGTTATACATTATATCTTTAGAGCTTATTCATTTTGCTTGACTGAAACTTTATGACTGCTAATTAGCAACTCTCTATGTCTCTCTCCTAGGGACTGGCAACCATTATTCTACTCTTGGATTCTGTGAATTTGACTATTTACATACCTCATACAAATGAAATCATGCTGTATTTGTCCTTTAGTGACAGGCTTATTTCACTTAGCAAATGTCTTCCAGGTTCATCCATTTTGTTGCAGATGGTAGGATTTCCTTTTTTTAAAAAAAAAAGACTGAATAATATTCCATTGTATGTATTTAACACACATCCATTTATGGATATTTAGGTTGTTTCCACATCTTAGCTATTCTGAATAATGCTTCAATGAACATGGGATCCTGGTATTAATTCTCTTAAATATAGAAAGGTAGGGTTGATGGATCATATGGAAGTTCTATATTTAATTTTTGCTGAAACCTCCAGTTTTTCATAGCTGCTGTGCCATTTTACATTCCCACCAACGGTGTACAAGAATTCCAATTTCTCCACATCCTCGCAAATACTTATTATTTATTTATGTGTTAATAATGGTCATCCTAACAGGTATGATGAGGTGATATCTCATTTTGGCTTTGATTTGCATTTCCCCAATGATTAGTGATGTTGAGAATCTTTTCATCTACCCATTGGCCATATGTATGTCTTTTTTGGAGAAATGTCTGTTCAAGTACTTTGCCTACTTTTTAAATTGGGTTATTGTTTTTGTTTGTTTGATTGTTTAACTACTGAGTTGTAAAAGTTTCTTATATATTTTGGATGTTAATCCCTTATCAGATAGATTATTTGCAAATATTTCTCCCATCCTATAGGTTGTCTCCTCATTTTTTTGATTGTTTCCTTTGCTGTGCAAAAAGTTTTTATTTGATTTATTTCTACTTACCTATTTTTACTTTTGTTTCTTTGCTTTTGGTGTCTTATCCAATACATTATTGCCAACTTCAATGTTACGAAACTCTTCCTCTATGTTTTATTTTATGGGATTTACAATTTTGGGTCTTCTTTACAGTTAATTCTTCAATTCATTTTAAGTTGAATTTTGTATATTGTGTAAGATAAAAATCAATTTCAGTCTATTATGTAGGATATCTAGTTTTCCCGGCACCATTTGTAGAAAAGACTCCTTTTCTCATTCTGTATTGTTGGCAACCTTGTTGATGATCAGTTGACCATATATGTGTGGATTTGTATCTGGGCTCTTTTGTTCTGTAGGTCTTATGCCTGTCTTTATGCCAGCATTATACTGTTTTAATTACTGTTGTTTCTTAATACATTTTGAAATCAGCAGATGTCTCTAGCCTTGTGTTTTCTCAAGATTGTTTTGGCTGTTGGGGCCCTTTGTGGTTTCATGTGAATTTTAGAATTTTTATCAGCTTCTGTAAACAATTCTATTAGCATTTTGATAGAATTTGCTTTGAATCTGTAAATTGTTTTGGGTAGTGCAGAAATTTTAACAATATTAAGCCTTCCAATCCATGAACATGGATGTCTTTTTATTTATTTGTGTTTAATTTCTTTCCTCTGTGTTTCATAGTTTTCAGTGTACAGGTCTTTTACCTCATTAATTAAGTTTATTCATAAGTATTTTATTCTTTTCGATGCTATTTTAGATGAGATTATTTTCTTAATTTTCTTCTCAGGAAGTTTGTTGTTAGTGTATAGCAACACCACTGATTTTTGTATTCTGCTACTTACAGAATTTATTTATTCAAAGTGTATGTGTGTGCACATGTGTGAGTATATGTAGTCTTTAGGATTTTTACATATATGATTATGCCATCTACAAAGAGAGATAATTTTACTTTTACTTTTTTCCAATTTGAATACCTTTTATTTATTTTCCTTGCCTAATTTTTCTTGCTAGGAATTTTAGTACTATGTTGAACAGAAGTGGCAAAAATGGGCATCATTGCCTTGCTCTTTACTTTAAAGAAAAAGTGATTTTATACTCTCATATACTTTCATATTGCTTTTAATTGTTCTTTGTTGCAACTTGAAAAACTCCTTTCAGCATATCTTGTAATGCAGGTTCAGTGGTGATATATTTCCTCAGCTTTTGTTTGTCTAGGAAAGTATTCATCTCTCCTTCATTTCTGAAGAATGGTTTTGCCAAGAGTAGTATTCTTGGCTGGTATTTTTTTTTCTCTCTCAGCACTTTGGATATATCATCCCACTTACTTCTGGTCTGCAAAGTTTCTGCTGAAAAATTCTCCTAATATTTTTATGGGGACACCACTGTATTAACAAGTCACTTTTCTTTTGCTGCTTTCAAAATTCTCACTTTGCCCTTGACCTTTGATAATTTATCATAATGTATCTCAGTGTGGATATCTTGGTATCATCTTATTTGGGGTCCACTGGGCATCGTAGGTGCCCATTAGGGGATTTCTAGATGCCCTTAGATTTGGAAAATTTCCTTTATTATTTTTTGAATAAGCTTTCTTTTTCTCTCCCTTCTTTTTCCGAGAATCCTATAATTTCTATACTGACCCACTTAATGGTGTCCCATAAGTCCTTTATGCTTTTTCTTTTTTTTTTTTTTTTGAGACAGAGTCTCACTCCGTTGCCCAGGCTGGAGTGCAGTGGCACAATCTCGGCTCACTGCAAGCTCTGCCTCCTGAGTTCATGCCATTCTCTTGCCTCAGCCTCCTGAGGAGCTGGGACTACAGGCGCCTGCCACCACGCCTGGCTAATTTTTTTTTTTGTATTTTTAGGAGAGATGGGGTTTCACCGTGTTAGCCAGGATGGTCTCTATCTCCTGACCTTGTGATCTGCCCGTCTCAGCCTCCCAAAGTGCTGGGATTACAGGCATGAACCACCAAGCCCAGCCCTTTTAAGCTTTTTTTTTACTCTTTTTATTCTTTTCATTTCTGTAGATAATTTCAATAAACTTTCTTCAAGTTCACTGACCTTTACTTCTGCTTGCTCTAGTCTGCTGTAGAACCTACCTAGTGAATTTCATTTCAACTATTGTGTTCTTCAGCTCTATGATTTCTATTAGATACTTTTAAATCTTTCTATGTCTCTTGAAATTCTCATATTCATGCATGTTCTCCTGACCTTATTTTGCATGTTTACGATGGTTATTTTGATTTCTCTGTCAGGTATATCACATATCTTTGTATCCTTGCGGTCAGTTTCTGGAAACTTATTCTATTTTTTGGAGCATATTTTTCTGTTTCTTCGTTGTCCTTGACTCTTGTGTTGATGTTTGCACAATAGTCTCATAGAATGGACTCATATAGGAGAAGCACTTCACCAATCTGCCAGTCCAGACATTCTGGGAGCATCTCAAGTCCAGATGCTATCTCAGACTGTTATTTCTGTTCTCAGTGGTTCCCAGGCATTTGGAATATGGCAGGACCCATAAATGCTCTGAGACAGTTGAGGTAGAGCCAGTGCCTTGGGCAGCCCTCAGAAAAATCAGACTGTTGAACATATGGTTCTCTCTTTTTCTTTCCCTTCTCAGGGAGCTGGGTTTTTTTTTTGTTTTTTTTTTTTTGGAAAGGGAGCAGTTGTGGTTCAGTGTTGTTCTGTTTGTTTTGCCTATTTGCTTTGCCCTGAGCTGGAAGCGGGGAATGTGGCATGTAGTAGCTTGCTATTCAAACTGCAGCCTTTGTTCTTAATGATGCCCCTGTGTCTAGGGTATGCCAGGTCCTGTCTGCCATTGCCTGAGATAGGTAAAACAGAAGTAAACGCCCTGGCAGCCCCCAGAAAAATTAGAATGCTGGACTTATGGCCCAGTGTTTTCATTCCTTCACCAAGGAGAAGCTTGAGGAATTGCCACACTGTCTTCCACAATGGTTGAACTAATTTATACTCCCAAGCGTTCCTATTTCTTTGCATCCTTGCCAGCATCTGTTCAGTTTCCAGACTTTTTAATGATCACCATTCTAATTGGCGCAAGATGGTATCTCATCGTGGTTTTGATTTGCATTTCTCTAATGACCAGTGATGATGAGCTTTTTTACATGTGTTTGTTGGTCACATAAATGTCTTCTTTTGCGAAGTGTGTGTTCATATCCTTTGCCCACTTTTCGATGGGGTTGTTTATGTTTTTTTCTTGTAAATTTGTTTAAGTTCCTTGTAGATTCTGGATATTAGAACTTTGTCAGATGGATAGATTGCAAAAATTTTCTCCCATTCTGTAGTTTGCCTGTTCACTCTGATGATAGTTTCTTTTGCTGAGCAGAAGCTCTTTAGTTTAATTAGATCCCATTTGTCAATTTTGCCTTTTGTTGCATTTGCTTTTGGTGTTTTAGTCATGAAGTCTTTGCCCATGCCTATGCCCTGAATGGTATTGCCTAGGTTTTCTTCCAGGGTTTTTATGGTTTTAGGTTTTACTTTTAAGGCTTTAATCTGAGACAGCATAAATTTCAACTTGTAGCATGCAAATTCATGCATATTTATTTTAAGTAAATTGAGCATTCAGTTTGAGAAAACAATTGTTAATGGATACAAAAGCAAATTTTTTGTCAGTTTCAAGAAAGAAATCTAGTATGTAACTTAAAGAGGAAACCTTGCTTGTCAAAGAGGAAGCCAGAGATGTGGGGTGGGTGAAAGGCATGTGCAAAGACCGTGCTAGAGGAGGAAAGATACATGGTAGGGAAGGGGTGTTAGCTCTGTTATCTCTTCCTTTCAGGTAGCAGCATAGTTAAAACTCATCTTGATAATTTTGCCTCACCAAAAAAGCCAGTCATTTTGTCATATGTTTCAATGTTCATTATTGTGAAAGATGATAAAACATGGCTGAAGGGAACCAAAGTGTGGGCATAGAAGATAATAGGTAACTTACGAAGGGGCAAGGAGGTGGTTGTGAAAATTGGAATAGGAAACAATTTGGAGGCCGTAAGGTATGACAGGTTCTGATTTGCATTTTGCAAGGTTCTGTTGACAGTTCTCACAAAACAGCATCGTGTGCAAACACCAAAGACCATCTTCAGTTTGTTTCCAGTCTAAATCTCAAGTTCAATTAGTGATTATTTGCTGCACAAATAATTAACTACTATAAGCTACTAGAAAACGCCACACAGAACCATGACTTCAGGACTTTTCCCAGCAGGTGTGGGGTAATTTCACTAAGAAGGAGGCAATAAGGCTGGGTGCCGGGGCTCACGCCTGTAATCCCAGCACTTTGGGAGGCCGAGGCGGGTGGATCACCTGAGATCTGGAGTTCAATCTAGCCTGACCAACATGGAGAAACCCTATCTCTACTAAAAATACAAAATCAGCCGGGCGTGGTGGCGCATGCCTGTAATCCCAGCTACTCCGGAGACTCAGGCAGGTGAATCGCTTGAATCCAGGAGGTGGAGTTTGCGGTGAGCCGAGATCGCGCCATTGCACTCCAGCTTGGGCAACAAGAGCGAAACTCCGTCAAAAAAAAAAAAAAAAAAAAAAAAAAAGAAAAGAAAAGAAAAAGAAAGATAAAATGAAAATTCGTGGCTGGGCGCAGTGGCTCACTCCTGTAATCTCAGCACTTTGGGAGGCCGAGGTGAGTGAGTCACCTGAGGACAGGAGTTCAAGACCAGCCTGGCCAACATGGTGAAACCCCTTCTCTACTAAAAATTCAAAAAAATTAGCCCAGTGTTGCTGCACACTCCTGTAGTCCCAGCTACTTGGGAGGCTGAGGCAGGAGAATTGCTTGAATCTGGGAGGCGGAGGTTGCAGTGAGCCATTGCCCTCCAGCCTGGGTGACAGAGTGAGACTCTGTCTCAAAAAAAAAAAGAAAAAAAAAGAAAATAGAAAATTATCGAGGCTATCATTTTAATTTTAAGTCTGCTCTCAAATGTTACCTTGTCTGGGAATTCCTTCCCTGAACTCTACATATCCCCTATCAGGCAGAATTGTTTTACCCTTCTATGTGTTCCAACATCCTCTGGCCTCCAACATATTGGGTAATAATATATCATTTATCTTTGTTCTATTCTGCTTGATTGTGGACTAGAAGGACCTGGGATTTTGGCATTCATCTGTGCATGCACAGTGATAAGGGCAGTGCCTGGCATGGAACACTAAGTTCTTTTTGGATGAACGTATAAGTGAGAAAGTTCTATTCCTTAATTCCAATAGCACCTTGTTTAGGTCCACCAATTCCTGAAGACACCATGGGAAGATGACACCTGAGTTAATAAACTTAGATACAAAAGCTATACCAATATGTCTTTTAGTATACTCTGTTTATGCAAATATCTTAGTTTCCTGCAAAAAGATTTTCTTTTTCACCCCCCACCCCCACCAAAAAAACCACACATGATTAGAGGTGTGATTTTTAGTATCTTAAATATTATTGAAAGCCATTCAAGGTTATGTTTATAATTAAACTGAAATAAAAGAGATTAAAACCTTCTCTGAATTTTATCTGTACTGATTTTGCTATGGTCTAGCTAGTTATGGTATTTCAATGATCACATGGTTTAGCCCTAATTCTAATTTAGGCATACTACTCAATCCAATGCTGTTTAGATTTGCTCATGGGATTTGTTATAAAGTTCATGTCTCTCAGTGTTCTCACTATCCCATTCTTGCCACTGTAAAGATCTAAGCACCATCAGTCTAATAATTTAGCAGACAATGGAGTCTTCTTAGCTTTTACACACTATCAGGTATGGTTCACAGCAGTTAGAATGCAGCCTGTTGTATTTCCAAGACCATCTGCTGCAGCGAATCATGTAAACAGTTTCCAAAAGACGGAAAGAGAGAGAAAGATGATAGATATTAAAGTCAGAGATGGATCTGGAGATTTAGAGACTAACACATACTCACTCACATACAACAGCACTTCAGTTTTGGGTCTATGTGTGAAACCAAGCATGCCTTAAACAAGGAAGACAAGCTTTTCAAAGGTGCAATTGGATAACTTCTGCCATAGAAATGGCTGAATTGGGACACAAGTGGGGACAATTCCAGAAGAAGGGCACATCTCTTTCTTTTCTGCAGTTCTTTCTCACCTTCTCAACTCCTACTAAAATGTCTCATTTTCAGGTTCTGTAAATCCTGCTAGTCTCAGGCAAAATTATGCTCCAGGAGTCTCAAATTTTCTTATTTCATATTAGTCTTTATTTAGTAGACTTCTTAATTTTTCTATTCATCACAAGTAAAAGCCTGTTGATCTTAATCAGCCAAGAAACTTATCTGTCTGGCAAATGACTTATGTATAAAGAGAATCATCAATGTCATGAGGTAACCCATTTCAACTGCCTATTCAGAGCATGCAGTAAGAGGAAATCCACCAAGTCTCAATATAATAATATTCTTTATTCCTGGACAGCTCGGTTAATGAAAAAATGGACACAGAAAGTAATAGGAGAGCAAATCTTGCTCTCCCACAGGAGCCTTCCAGGTAGGTACAAGGTATTATTTTTTTCTACCCTCAGTCACTTAGTGGCAGGGGAAGTCATAGTCACGGTGCTTAGGAGATGAAACTTTATTGATTTAGGCATGGATCCATCTAGTTTAATTAATATATTGGGTATGAGGAAGCTACTTGCTGTACTTTCCATGTGGTTCTCTCTCCCTGGAGAGGAACATTTTTACTCAGCTTGCAAACTGGAAATAGATTTTCTCACATTAGAAGCTCATTTTCTGGGTATGAGACAGGAGAGTTCATACTGTGTATGTAGATCTCTGGCTTCTGGGTCTGACATGTGCTGAGGGACACATATCCTTCACACATGCTTTTATAAATACTTGATAAAGTAACCTGCTTCTTGATTGGTCTTTATAATCCATAAGCTGTGGGATGCTTCTCTGAAGATGAAAATAGTAATAGAGTCCCATCTAGCTATTCAAAGCCATTCCTTCATTGTATTCTGTGCACATGAAGTTGGGGTTTGTTACTGACAAAATATATTCAGATACATTTCTATGTTAAAAGGATTGTGAGATGCATAGGTAAATGTGTTTATTTTCAGTTTTACTTGTCAACATAGATGAATGAGAAAGAACTTGAAAGTAACACTGGATTAAGAATAGGAAAATTTGGCATGGATTTTGCTCCATTTTGTCCCATCTAATCACTTGGATAGTGTTCAGGTGTTCTTGGTCAGTTACTTGGATGCTCTGAGCTTTAGTTTCTTGGTGATTACAATGAAGATTTGAATTACAGGATGGCTTTGAAAAAATAAACAAAACTCCCCTTTCTGTCTGTCGAGAATGTTGCACAGGGAGTTACAGAATGTTCTCATGACTGAATTGCTTTTAAATTTCACAGTGTGCCTGCATTTGAAGTCTTGGAAATATCTCCCCAGGAAGTATCTTCAGGCAGACTATTGAAGTCGGCCTCATCCCCACCACTGCATACATGGCTGACAGTTTTGAAAAAAGAGCAGGAGTTCCTGGGGGTGAGTGAGCCTCCTCCAACTTTGACTAGAGTAAGGGTTGGGTCTAGAAAAGAATATTGAGTTGCATCAACTGTTTTCCCACTTGGATTCATGAGAGGTGTTAGGTCCTTTAAAAAACATGGTAGATAAAGAGTTGACACTAACTGGGTCCTTTTGGGAAGAGAGAAGCATTTCCTCATAAAGACTTTAAATTGCTAGGACGAGAATGGCCAACAGGAGTGAAGGATTCATAATCTTTATCTTTACTTAGATGTAAAGAACAATTACTGATGTTCAACATGACTACGTACATAAAGGCGCATGGAGAAAAGTATTGGCCTTCCATGCATTAGGTAGTGCTTGTATCAATTCTTATAGTGGCTAGGGTATCCTGGAAAATCTTACGTGTGGATCATTTCTCAGGACAGTCTAGGACACTAACGCAGTTTCTCATGTTTGGCTTCTATTATTAAAAAATGATACAATCTCGGGAAAATTTTTTTGATTTTCATGAAATTCATGTGTTTTTCTATAGGTAACACAAATTCTGACTGCTATGATATGCCTTTGTTTTGGAACAGTTGTCTGCTCTGTACTTGATATTTCACACATTGAGGGAGACATTTTTTCATCATTTAAAGCAGGTTATCCATTCTGGGGAGCCATATTTGTGAGTATATATCTATAATTGTTTCTGAAATAACACTGAACATAGGTTTTTCTCTTTCTCAGATCTAACCAGTTGTTTATTCCCAGTATTAACATGATATTTATAATTCTTAATTATAAATTATATGTGAGCATATATAACATAGATATGCTCATTAACAACAACAAAAGATTCTTTTTACAATTAACGGTGGGTTAAACATTTAGCCCACAGTTTTATCCCATGAGAAACCTGAATCTAATACAAGTTAAATGACTTGCCTAAGGGCCACTTGACTAATAGTAATTGAACCTAAACTTTCAGAATCCAACTCCAGGAACATACTTCTAGCACTATTCATCAATAAAGTTATATGATAAATACATACAACTTTATCTGTCAACTAAAAATAACAACAAAGGCTGGGCATGGTGGCTCACACCCGTAATCCCAGCACTTTGGGAGGCTGAGGCAGGTGGATCACCTGAGGTCAGGAGTTTGAGACCAGCCTGACCAACATGGTGAAACCTCATCTCTACTAAATATAAAAAATTAGCTGAGTGTGATAGTGCATGCCTGTAATCCCAGCTACTTAAGAGGCTGAGGCAGGAGGCTTGTTTGAACCTGGAAGGCAGAGGTTGCAGTGAGCTGAGATTGTGCCATTGCACTCCAGCCTGGGCAATAAGAGCGAAACTCTGTCTCAAAATAATAATAATAATAATAGAAAATAAAGTTGTCTTCATGAAAAATGAGGAAAGAGATTGCTGGGGTGAGAAACATTAAGATCAAAGGGCATATGGTGACCTTCTATGCCCTAGAAACTCTTTTAGGTATTTTCTCCTGGTATCTCTTTTACTCATCGTTCTATCTGGAAAAATAGGTGGATGAGTGAGATAATAAGGTATATAACTTTTTAAAGGTCTAATTGACATATAATAAATTGCAAGTATTTCAGATGTACAATTTGCTAACCTTGACACACATAGACACACATGAAAACATCACCACATTAATACAATGTATGTATCCATCATTTCCAAAAGCTTCCCTGTGTATCTTTGTAACTCTTTCTTCCTCCCTCCACTCCTTGTCCTCTCGTTCCCAAGAAAACATTGATCTGCTTTCTGTGAATATAAATTAACTTACATTTTTTAGAGCTTTATATAAGTATGTTCTCTTTACTGTTTGTCTTCCTTCGCTGCACAGTTATTTTGAGATTCTTCAAGTTTTTTCTTTATATCGATACTTCATTCACAAGAATATATTTTAATTCTAGACTATGTCACATTGACTTTGTAGTCTGCTAAATCCTTAGTGCTCAGATGACTTGTTCAGGACTCTCCTTGAACCTGTACCTCTGTTATAATTGAAACTTGTCTCTACTGTCTTTTTATTTCAAACACAGCTTATGAGGTGTCTCTCAACCCATCAAACTCACAATCTGAGTCTTTAGGAGATTGCTTTGAATTTGTGCTATTGACTTATATTTATATCAAATATGTAAATGTTTGGTAAAAATATCATCATGTACATTTTCATAATTACTCTATATTCACATGATATATGTCAGACTCTGGAAATATGCATGCCACAGACACGTGTTTCTTGCCTAAAGGGGCTGATGGAAGACGCACATACAAATAGACGATTGCAATAGAATGAGAGTGGTGGTCTAATCGATTCATGCCCTGATGTTGCTGGACGTTGCTACTCCAAGAGTAACCCCTGCATTGTCAGGGTTAGCATCTCCTGGAAGCCTCATGTAAATGAAGAATTTCATGCTCCATCCAGGACCTAATGAATAAGAATCTGCATTTTAGCAAGACCCTCATATGATTCATATACACTTTTTTTTTTTTTTTTTAGATGGAGTCTCACTCTTGTCGCCCAGGCTGGAGTGCAATGGCATGATCTTGGCTCACTGCAACCTCTGCCTCCCGGGTTCAAGTGATTCTCCTGTCTCAGCCTCCCTAGTAGCTGGGACTACAGGTGCATGCCACAGTGGCTGGCTAATTTTTGTATTTTTAGTAGAGACAGGGTTTCACCATTTTGGTCAGGCTGGTCTTGAACTCATGACCTCCGGTGATTCCCCCGCCTCGGCTTCCCAAAGTGCTGGGATTACAGACATGAGCCACCACACCCAGCCTTATTCGTATACACATTTAATTCTGAGAAGCACTCTATAGAAAATAAGAATAAGAAAATATTGGGCTCACAGGTGACATTAATAAGTAACTTTATCGAGTACCCCAAATGTTACCTATGTTTGGAAGATGGGGTTAAAAAGGACACATTGAAAACAAGAAACTCATTGTGGCTTTTTTTTCCTCCTTTTTGAACAGTTTTCTATTTCTGGAATGTTGTCAATTATATCTGAAAGGAGAAATGCAACATATCTGGTGAGTTGCCCGTTTCTGTCTTTGTCCATCCTTGAAAAGATAAGAAGAACAGAGTTTTAAGAGTCTTAAGGGAAACACATCTTTGTCTCCTATATTACTTGTGAATGTGGATATATGATTTTGTTTCAATCTATTTTGTGTCCTAAGGCTTTTTGCAACAGAAGTTGGATATAATCATTAGAAACATAAATTGTACCATTTAACATACAATGAAGTTTATGTTTACCTTGACGTTTCTTCTAAAAAAAGTGTCCTCACACCGGCATTGTCCTTGTAGGCATATTCACATGATCAAATAAATAATTAGTTTTCAATTAAGGAGAATATTTGAGGAAAGACCGTACGTGTTCATGTGGTTCCTGAAGGCAGTCCAGTGAGAAAGTAATATATGCTCATTAAACAATGCGGACATTTTCAGGGTTTCCCTTTTTAACCAAAATTTGGAAGCAATGTGGAATTTACTGGATGCATCCAGCCCTGAAATGAAGATAGGTTTATTGAATGTGCCAGCAAGTGCAGGCCCAGGTCTGAGTGTTCTTCATTATTATCAGGTGAGAGGAAGCCTGGGAGCAAACACTGCCAGCAGCATAGCTGGGGGAACGGGAATTACCATCCTGATCATCAACCTGAAGAAGAGCTTGGCCTATATCCACATCCACAGTTGCCAGAAATTTTTTGAGACCAAGTGCTTTATGGCTTCCTTTTCCACTGTATGTATTTTTTTTTGTGTGGGAAGACTAAGATTCTGGGTCCTAATGTAAGTAAGAAGCCCTCTTCTCCTGTTCCATGAACACCATCCTTTTCTGTAACTTCTATTACACAGTATAGTGGTTCTGTAAGTTCACACAGCCCAGGGAGATGCTGGCTGCCCACTCCCCTCAACCCAGGCAAATTCCTCGGGGTTAAAGTTATCTACTGCAAGTGACGATCTCTGGGTTTTTCTGTGCCTGTGTTTGTGTGTGTGTGTGTGTGTGTGTGTGTGTGTGTGTATGTGTCACTTTAAAAGGACTGGTCAGATGGTAGGGAGATGAAAACAGGAGATGCTATAAGAAAATAAACTTTTGGGGCGAATACCATGTGACTCTTTTTGTTTGTCATTTGTTGCTGTTCAATAGGAAATTGTAGTGATGATGCTGTTTCTCACCATTCTGGGACTTGGTAGTGCTGTGTCACTCACAATCTGTGGAGCTGGGGAAGAACTCAAAGGAAACAAGGTAGATAGAAGCCCGATATAAAATCTTGAATGACAGGTTAACGAATTGGAGCTTTATTCCTTAAAAATATGGCCTGGGTTTTCTGAAACATTTCTTCCAGAAAATAGTTTCTCCAAGTTTTATTACTTTGGTTTACAAATCTCACATTTTAAATCACATTTTATACCCATAAGTAGCACACATTTCATAATATATCCCTCTGAATGAGGGTTGGGATAATAGGATCTGTATAATGTTAGAAAATGCCTTAAAGTGTGTGGAGCATGAGAGATGGATGTGCAGAAGGCTTGTGAGGAAACCACCCAGGTATCTGGCCTTGTTTTCTGCCCCAGAAGTAGCCGCCTATTCCTGTTTCTGTTTTATTCCTTTGTTTCTTGACTTTTCCTTTCCAACTTGCTCTAAAACCTCAGTTTTCTTTCCTTTCTGATTCATGACTACCAAATGTTTCCACTTGCCTCACCCGTCCATTACACCTTTGATAAGAACCACCAGCACCTTGTGCTCATGTACTTGCCCATGTCTGATGGAAGAAACATACTCTCTCCATCTGTCCACTTTCCTGAGGCATTCAAGTCTAGCCACCTTTTAAAATCACTCTCCTCCAGGCTGGGCACGGTGGCTCACGCCTGTAATCTCAGCACTTTGTGAGGCTGAGGAGGGCGGATCACTTGAAGTCAGGAGTTCAAAACCAGCCTGGCCAAATGGCAAAACCAAATCTTCAATTAAAACCAAATCTTAAACCAAATCTCTACTAAAAAATACAACAAAACAAAACAACAACAACAAAAACAGAAAAGGAAACATTAGCCCAGCGTGGTGGCAGGTACCTGAGGTTCCAGATACTTGGGAGGCTGAAGCAGGAGAATCGCTTGAGCCCAAGAGATGGAGGTTGCAGTGAGCCGAGATCATGCCACTGCACCACAGCCAGGGTGACAGAGCCATACTTCCCAGCACATTGGGAGGCCAAAGCTGAAGAATAATTTGAGGTGAGGATTTGGAGACCAGCCTGGCCAACATGGTGAAACTCCGTCTGTACTAAAAATATAAAACTTAGTGGGGCATGGGGGCACACACCTGTAATTTCAGCTACTTAGGAGGCTGAGGCAGGAGAATTGCTTGAACCCGGGAGGCGGAAGTTGCAGTGAGCCAAGATCGTGGCCACTGCACTCCAGCCTGGGTGACATAGTGAGATTCTGTCTCAAAAAAAATAAAAGAAATTTAAAAAATCACTCTCTTCCAAAGATAGATAAATAAGACAGCAGATATACTAAGGAATAACCTCACCAACTTGTCATTGACTGACATGATTTCTTTTGGGCCCACTTGGCCAGCTAGTCTGGTTTGGTTTTCTGGAAATGAAAGAAATAATCAGAGTTTAATGACAGAGAGCGTGAGACCCAGAAAGACAAAAGTAGATGAGGTAAGTCTCTTGAGCGAGACTTCTAGGGATGGGAAATTTGTGGTGATTGATATGAAATGATTTTTCCCTTATCAGGTTCCAGAGGATCGTGTTTATGAAGAATTAAACATATATTCAGCTACTTACAGTGAGTTGGAAGACCCAGGGGAAATGTCTCCTCCCATTGATTTATAAGAATCACGTGTCCAGAACACTCTGATTCACAGCCAAGGATCCAGAAGGCCAAGGTCTTGTTAAGGGGCTACTGGAAAAATTTCTATTCTCTCCACAGCCTGCTGGTTTTACATTAGATTTATTCGCCTGATAAGAATATTTTGTTTCTGCTGCTTCTGTCCACCTTAATATTCTCCTTCTATTTGTAGATATGATAGACTCCTATTTTTCTTGTTTTATATTATGACCACACACATCTCTGCTGGAAAGTCAACATGTAGTAAGCAAGATTTAACTGTTTGATTATAACTGTGCAAATACAGAAAAAAAGAAGGCTGGCTGAAAGTTGAGTTAAACTTTGACAGTTTGATAATATTTGGTTCTTAGGGTTTTTTTTTTTTTTTAGCATTCTTAATAGTTACAGTTGGGCATGATTTGTACCATCCACCCATACCCACACAGTCACAGTCACACACACATATGTATTACTTACACTATATATAACTTCCTATGCAAATATTTTACCACCAGTCAATAATACATTTTTGCCAAGACATGAAGTTTTATAAAGATCTGTATAATTGCCTGAATCACCAGCACATTCACTGACATGATATTATTTGCAGATTGACAAGTAGGAAGTGGGGAATTTTATTAAGTTACTCGTTGTCTGGGGAGGTAAATAGGTTAAAAACAGGGAAATTATAAGTGCAGAGATTAACATTTCACAAATGTTTAGTGAAACATTTGTGAAAAAAGAAGACTAAATTAAGACCTGAGCTGAAATAAAGTGAGTGGAAATGGAAATAATGGTTATATCTAAAACATGTAGAAAAAGAGTAACTGGTAGATTTTGTTAACAAATTAAAGAATAAAGTTAGACAAGCAACTGGTTGACTAATACATTAAGCGTTTGAGTCTAAGATGAAAGGAGAACACTGGTTATGTTGATAGAATGATAAAAAGGGTCGGGCGCGGAGGCTCACGCCTGTAATCCCAGCCCTTTGGGAGGCCGAGGTGGGCAGATCACGAAGTCAGTAGTTTGAGACCAGCCTGGCCAACATAGTGAAACCCCGTCTCTACTAAAAATACAAAAAAAAAATTAGCTGGGTGTGGTGGCAGTCACCTGTAGTCCCAGCTACTTGGGAGGCTGAGGCAGGAGAATCGCTTCAACCTGGGAGGCGGAGGTTGCAGTGAGCCGAGATCGCACCAGTGCACTCCAGCCTTGGTGACAATGGGAGACTCCATCTCAAAAAAAAAAAAAAAAAAAAAAAAGATAAAAAGTCAGAAATCTGAAAAGTGGAGGAAGAGTACAAATAGACCTAAATTAAGCTCATTTTTAGGCTTTGATTTTGGGGAGACAAAGGGAAATGCAGCCATAGAGGGCCTGATGACATCCAATACAGAGTTCTGGTAAAGATAAAATTTGATACAGGTTTGGTGTCATTATAAGAGAAATCATTATTAAATGAAGCAAGTTAACACTCTAAGAGAATTATTTTGAGATAGAAGTGAAGCTAAGCTAAACTTCACATGCCTATAATTGGAGGGAAAAACTAAGGATAAAATCTAGCCTAGAAGATACAATAATTAGTCATAAACATGCATTGTGAAACTGTAGAGAGCAGGTAGCCCAAAATAGAGAAAGATTAGATAAAGAGAAAATAAGTATCCATCAGAGACAGTATCTCTAGGCTTGGGCAAGAGAAAAGTCCACAGTGATAAGCAACTCCACCTAAGGCATGAATATGCGGCAGAGAAAACAGCAATAGTGAATGAATGCAAAAGGTGCTGAGAAATTCCACACATGAGTATTGTGATGAGTAAATGAATAAAACATTTGCAAAGACCTTTAGAGAAAGAGAATGGGAGCATATGTGAGAAATAAGATAGTTGATTATGAATAGAAGGTAGTGAAGAAAAGCAAGCTAAGAAAAAATTCTGTTTATAAAAGAAGGAAAAGATAGTTTATGTTTTTAGCCTAAGTATAAGAGTCCTACAGATGGACTGAAAAAAATCAGTCTGAGAGTATTAGTCACAATTAATGAAATAATTACATTTTATGTATTGAGGATGCCAAGATTAAAAGGTGACAGGTAGATGTTAATTTCCCTAGATTGTGAAAGTGATCACGACAATCACACAACAAATAATTAAGTGACTTGGTATGCTTTATTTAATTGTAGGGCCTGAGGTTTTCCATTCTCATTTTTCTAAAATACAATTTTGTTTCTCCAAATTTGACAGCAGAATAAAAACCCTACCCTTTCACTGTGTATCATGCTAAGCTGCATCTCTACTCTTGATCATCTGTAGGTATTAATCACATCACTTCCATGGCATGGATGTTCACATACAGACTCTTAACCCTGGTTTACCAGGACCTCTAGGAGTGGATCCAATCTATATCTTTACAGTTGTATAGTATATGATATCTCTTTTATTTCACTCAATTTATATTTTCATCATTGACTACATATTTCTTATACACAACACACAATTTATGAATTTTTTCTCAAGATCATTCTGAGAGTTGCCCCACCCTACCTGCCTTTTATAGTATGCCCACCTCAGGCAGACACAGAGCACAATGCTGGGGTTCTCTTCACACTATCACTGCCCCAAATTGTCTTTCTAAATTTCAACTTCAATGTCATCTTCTCCATGAAGACCACTGAATGAACACCTTTTCATCCAGCCTTAATTTCTTGCTCCATAACTACTCTATCCCACGATGCAGTATTGTATCATTAATTATTAGTGTGCTTGTGACCTCCTTATGTATTCTCAATTACCTGTATTTGTGCAATAAATTGGAATAATGTAACTTGATTTCTTATCTGTGTTTGTGTTGGCATGCAAGATTTAGGTACTTATCAAAGATAATGGGGAATTAAGGCATCAATAAAATGATGCCAAAGACCAAGAGCAGTTTCTGAAGTCCTCCTTTTCATCAGCTCTTTATCAAACAGAACACTCTATAAACAACCCATAGCCAGAAAACAGGATGTAGGAACAATCACCAGCACACTCTATAAACAACCCATAGCCAGAAAACAGAATGTAGGGACAATCACCAGCCATCTTTTGTCAATAATTGATGGAATAGAGTTGAAAGGAAACTGGAGCATGAGTCATATTTGACCAGTCAGTCCTCACTCTTATTTACTTGCTATGTAAACTTGAGAAAGTTTTTTCTCCTTGTGAACCTCAGGTTTTACATCTGAAAATGAGAAATTTGGAACAAAAGATTCCTAACTGGTCTTTCTGTTCCCATATTCTGTGATTTTTCAATATTTAGGATTTTTGGTAATCACAATTACTTAGTTTGTGGTTGAGATAGCAACAGCAATCAGAACTATTTGGTGGACATATTTTCAAAGGAGTAGCTCTCCACTTTGGGTAAAGAAGTGATGCCGGTCGTGGTGGCTCACGCCTGTAATCCCAGCACTTTGGGAGGCCAAGGCGGGTGGATCACGAGGTCAGGAGATCGAGACCATCCTGGCTAACACGGTGAAACCCCGTCTCTACTAAAAAATACAAAAAATTAGCCAGGCGTGGTGGCGGGCGCCTGTAGTCCCAGCTACTCGGGAGGCTGAGGCAGGAGAATGGCATGAACCAGGGAGGCGGAGCTTGCCGTGAGCCGAGATAGCGCCACTGCAGTCCCTCCTGGGCAAAAGAGCAAGACTGCGTCTCAAAAAAAAAAAAAAAAAAAAAAAAAAAGAAGTGTGTGGTGTAGCAGGACACCTGCAACAATAATATTTTTCTAAATCCCTCTGAAAAATGCTAATCAAAGGGTTTTTTTCCTAAAAATTGTCTTAGAAATAAAATTTCCCCTTTGGGAGACCGAGGCTGGCAGATCACGAGGTCAGGAGATAGAGACCACGGTGAAACCCCGTCTCTACTAAAAATACTAAAAATTAGCCGGGCGTGGTGGTGGGCACCTGTAGTCCCAGCTACTTGGGAGGCTGAGGCTGGAGAATCACGTGAACCCGGGAGCTTGCAGTGAGCCGAGATTGCGCCACTGCACTCCATCCTGGGTGACACAGCGAGACTCTGTCTCAAAAAAAATAAAAAATAAAAAAAGAAAGAAAATTTCCCAAATAATTCCCATTATAAGTATATAATAGGTAACAATTCCCGCTATAGACATGAATCTACTTATATAAACAACTAATGAGACAGGGTACCATATTTTTAATTGTAACTTGATTTAGAGTGTTGGGGTAAATCTATATATCCCAGAGTGTGAGGCTCCCTCGTTAGTATCTCTCTGTGTTACATGAGTATTTCCCTCCACTGGAAAACCTCTGTTCACTCTACAAACAGTTAAGTGAGCTGAACTTACATCTCCAAATAGCCTCTATCTGGGAGTTCCAGCATAGGGTTTTGTTGAACAATATTGGGGGTCATGGATTATTAAGATGGTGGATTTTGGAATACAATATACGCAGAAGCAAATTGCAGTAGCTATATTAGGTATTGGCTGTATGATCTTGGCCAATCATTTTATTCTATCTTAGTTTTCTTCTGTTTCTTAAATGGATATATTAAACATAATATTGTGCATGTTCAAAAATCATTTAGCCCGGTTTCTCGAATGATGAATGGAACCTGTTTTTTCATTTATAGACATTGATGTGTAATCCTGAACTTGAAATTAGGAAAAGAGACACTGTCAGCTTCTCAGGAACGTTTGGCAATATTCACCTATCCCTTAACTCCGGTTGGAAAAAGTGGGCTTAAGACCCTGGGTAAGATCAGGGAATGTAATTATTAGTAACCTTCACATAGACTACTTCCAAATAAATTGAACTGTAAAAAACATATATTACAAAATGATGTTATCTTAGTCCCAAAAAGGCAGAGAGGTAGATGGAAAGAGGCTCTAGGGAAAATGCTATCAGATGAGTTTTGGGAAACCTGTAAAAGCATATCAACTTTCTTCATCAGTGAGAAATATCTTAACCCACCATGTCTGCCTATCAGGAAGGAACTGGTTGAAAAACAGTACAAGAGGCTCAATCTGTAAAAAACAGAAGGAAGAGAGAGAGCCAAGATCAATTTTTGGCTCTAACACTAAACAGTGCGTAAAAGGTGCCCAGAGAAAACAGCTCATTTCCTCTTGTTATTTGGTGGCCCTATATAAAATTTTTGGATTGGAATCTGTTTTGTGCTGCTGTAAGGCCTTGTCCTGGGGATAGATTTAGGCTGGGCAGAAGGAGGGCTGGCAATTGGTCTATATGAGAATGTTAAGAGTGGTTTCTTACATGGTATGCTATTGTTCAATGATTTTTTTTTTTTTTTTTTTTTTTTAGAGACAAGTGTCCTAGGATAGACAATGGTGCTGCCATGTTTTGCCATTTGTAAATAAATTGATATTTTATCTAACATGATTCTATGGATATGGCAACAGACCTGAATAAGAGCCGATGCCCTGTTAGATTCCAGACATTTTGCTAAGACACAGAACAGAAAATATGAATTGCTATAAATGCTGTCCTTCAGAAGTTCATGTGCAAAAAGGGAGAGAGGAGAGAAAGATCCACTTAGGCAAATAGAAGATGTTACTAGAACGTACAGAGTTTTTCTGGCATGAGCAGGTACCATGAGAAATCAACAATTAAACTGGAAAATTTGAACTGGAATTCCAAATCCTATACGAGAGTAAGAAAGTGAATAAAGCCGGGCTGGTTGTGGTGGCTCACACCTATAATCCCAGCACTTTGGGAGGCAGAGGTGGGCGTGTAGCAGGACAAACCACAGACAAAACTCCTCCGACACTGAGTTAAAGAAGGAAGGGGTTTATTCGGCCAGGGGCATCAGCAAGACTCCTGTTTCAAGAGCCGAGCTCCCCAAGTGAGCAATTCCTGTCCTTTTTAAGGGCTCACAACTCTAACGGGGTGCGCCTGAGAGGGTCATGATCGATTGAGCAAGCAGCGGGTATGTGACTAGGGGCTGCATGCACCAGTAATTAGATCAAAACAAAACAGGATACGGATTTTCACAGTGCTTTTTTATACAATGTCTGTAATCTACAGATAACATAACTGATTAGGTCAGGGGTCGATCTTTAACTACCAGGCCTAGGGTGTGGCACCGGGCTGTCTGCTTGTGGATTTCATTTCTGCCTTTTAGTTTTTACTTTTTTTTTTTCTTTGGAGGCAGAAATTGGGCATAAGACAATATGAGGGGTGGTCTCCTCATTTATTCCCTCCCTTTGAGACATTCACTCAATAGTGGGAGTTCTCACTTTCATTTTCACTACCCATGTCTTCTTGCAAGACAGATCAATAGTGATTCATACAGTACACTTGTGCTGAAACATTTTGGTCAACTAAGGTAGTGATGAAGCTTTTTATCATTTGAAGAAGTACAGGTAGCAAACAAGGGAGCAATAAGCAGGTTCTTATTACTATTATAACTCTTATTATAAGAGTTTTAAATCTTCCTAGCGCTGGGAACTATTTTCTAAACATGCCCTCAGGATCAAATCTATGCCACACTTGCACGGGCACATGTGCCAGTTTTGTCATATCTTTATGTCTTCAACTACTTGCCCTTGATTATCTATGTGTAGGCAGCAATTAGTAAGGGTAAATTTCTTACAGACCTCTCCTTCAGCTGTTAGCGAGTAGTCGAGAGCTAATCTATTTTGATAGATACCATTTCTTATCTGAGTTTCTTGCCGGGCCAGAATAGTCAAGGCTCTGCCGGTTTTATTAGTGATCATTTTTAAGACAGCTTGTAACTATGATTCGGTTGATCATGTAAATGGGGATCTGGTATCCTTACGAACTGTCTGTTGCCTAAGTAGCAGGCCTATAATATTGTATGATTTTCTCGTGGGCCATTTATCATTTTTTCAATTTTCTATAGCTATGCTTTTCTTTTCGCGGGAAGCATAGACAGGGAAGCTCAGGAGTTCACCTGTCCTTATGGGCAGTAAGAAGAAAGATGGTTTAATAGTGCCAATAACACAACTACCTGCCGACTCGTCAGGTAATTTGGCAAAAGCTCTATGCCCACATATCCAGTATAATCCAGTGGGGGCTGTCCAGTCCCGGTGGGACTCTGGATGGGTCCAAACGGTTCGCAACTTTGGGAATTTACTAAATGGATTTCTCTCTGTGTGATTTGAACTCCACGAAGTGACTGTTTCTGTGGTACCATTATACAGTTTCTGTCTTAGACAACTAAGTCGTCCTACGGGGTGAGTGAATTCTTTTCTTTCTCTAGCTATGCAATATTGTCCAATAATTGAGGCTTTTATGACCTAGAAATTATCAGGGTGATTCTTTTGAGCCGGGAATTCATCAGGAACTGGGTCTGTAGGTAGTAATTCTCAGGCTTCCTATGGCCATTGACCTCTTATTACGTTCTTCCACATACCTAACATGAAGTGACATTGAGAGACTGGGCTACGTGCTCAGCTAATTGCAAAAACAAATTTCTTGTTTTTCCTGGAATTTCTGGTACTGGCACATTTAGTTCATCATAGAAAGTCTGAAACACTGGCTGAGGAGAGCATTTGTAAACTTCTCCTTGAACTAAGATGTTTACTTGAGGATCCAGTCCAGCCCCGTCGATTCCTAAGGTCACACGCTCCTCTTTTTTCCAGCGAGGATCAAGGGGATTGGTTATTACTAGCTCTAAGGGGTTACATTGTCCTTTAGTACGGGAAAGGCTATTTTTTCTTTTCTGGAGGTGGACTGGATCCTTTTTATTTTTTTTTAATTTAAGTGGCCTAAATGACACAAGACTAGTATTTACATTTATTTCTACACAGTCCTAATTTATGACAGATGTACTTATTTTCTGCCATATAGCCTCTTTTTTAATTAAGAGAACCACACCTTATTCCTAACTTATTACTATTAATGACAGCACAGGCATCAAATTTCAAGGTGACTTGTTTGGGCACCCCTTTTTCTTCTGTTTTGGCTAACACTTTACTCGTATCATTTATGAGCCTTCACCAGTCCTCAGTCTTTAATCTTATTTTAAAAACTGTGGTCATGGGAGGCTTAGATGGGTCATAACACACATCAGGTTGGTCATTTCCTGGGCTACATACCTTGTATACAATAACATTACACAAACAAGTTCTTTTTAGAGTTCCAGTACACTTAAAATAACCATAAAATAATAGGACTGTAGCAACCTTTTGTCTTACCTCAGTGACTTGATGTACACACTGGGAACAGTCTTCAGTCTGAGGAAGGTCAATTGAAGTCCTTACTGTAAAAGTCTAAATTTTAAGGAAAAAGAGTACTGTGATGAGTTTTCTCATGCTTTGGCCGTGCGTGGACCAGTCAGCTTCCGGGTGTGACTGGAGCAGGGCTTGTCGTCTTCTTCAGAGTCACTTTGCAGGGGTGGTGAAGCTGCTCCCATCCACAGTCTACTTCTGTTTAAGGATGGTCTTGGAGGTTGGGCCTGCTAGAATAAACTGAGTCCAACACCTCTACACAGTTATGTTCAACTGGGCAATCTGATACCGGGGGCAAGGTGGCAGGGTTTAGGGTGTTGGAAACTTTAATGGTTATGGGGGATTTTCACATAGCAAGCTTTGGTACTTGGTTAATCTAGCATTTGTTAACTAATGATGTCCTTTGGTAGTCATTAAAGTTACTACAGCATAGGGGGCCTTTATATTCAGGTTTTGCCTAAGGGTTAGTTTATTTGCTTCTTGTGCTAACAGGGCCATGGCTGCTAGGGCTCTTAGACCGTGGGGGCTACCCTCTGGAAACTTGCTCTAGTTGTTTTGAGAGATAGGCCACTGGCCTTGTCCAGGGCCTTACAGTCTGGGTTAAAACTCCAATTGCCATTTTTTATTTTTCTGACACATAGAGTGTAAAGAGTTTTGTCAGGTCAGGTAGCCTCAGGGCTGGGGCCGACATGAGTTTTTCTTTTTAACTTATGAAAAGCTCATTGATGTTGGTTGTAATAGATGTAGTTTATCTAATCTACATTTTTATTACCTGTCACCTACTAAAATATTGACTCAAATCCTGCAGCTATTTGATTTCAAGCTTTAAATTCATCTGGTGTTCATTGTGGGACTCCAGTTGCATTTAAATAGACATGAGAGTTGAAAGACCTATAAGGGGCTTCTCTCGCTTTACAATGTCTGATTTTTTTTTTCTTCTGGTTGATGAAATGCCAGGGTGAAAGGGATAGCCAATTGGACTAAAGTACAAGTGCCACTCCAGTTATTTGGCAGAGTGCCTAGTAAAAGTCTACCACAATATCACCACACATCCACTCGGGGATGAACAAGGGCTGACTGATTGATAAGCTCTTGAAAATTCTTAAGCTCACTGCATCCTTTCAGGTCTCCAAGAAACACTAAGTTTCCTCTGTGTCATGAGAGTGACGAAGTGAACTTAGTGTTGGGAGACGGAGGTTGGATGGCCCTCGGGGACTGATCCGCAGGGTGCCGGACTTTGGGATATAGCAGAGAGAGCTTGACATGACTTATTACTCCAGGTTGTAGAATCCTGGAAATGAGCTACCATGCAGCCTACACCTGGTCGACTGGAGGACCACCTTAGTAGAAAAGGGACAATCTGGGCCTGTGGCCTGCCATGTGCACAAGCATAACAATTGCTTTTGTTTAATGTGCAGATGGAATATTTGATCCATTTTAACCAGGCATTTGCATCTTGGTATCTTGTCTTAATTGCTAAAGTTTGTTTTAAGTCTTTAACTTCTATGATGCTCTAGTAAAATGAATGTATGGTTTTAGCAAATTACAAAACCCGGTTGAGGCAGTCTATGATTGCTCTTTAGTGAATGTTGGACCAACTATGGCATAAAAGCTCTACATCGGGGGGCAAGACTCTTGGTTGGCAATGGGGTCTTTATCAAAATCTCCCTTGATTAAATGGTCCTAGTTTACTAATGCCTAGTCTGAGGAGAGTCAGGAGGGACAGAAGTACTTTTCTGAAGTAGAAAACTGTCTTTGACTTGTACTTTTCTGAAGTAGAAAACTGTCTTTGACTTGGCAAGTCCTCACAGGGTATAACAAGGCAAGCATTAAATGCAATAGTTTGAGATGAAATTGACTTGGTTATGTTAATAACTAGATGGTCAGCAATAGAATGCGGAAAGAAGAAAGAGTAATAGAATAGATGAAAAGAGTTAAATTTTTCTTAGCTTTAGTTTGGTAGGATTTTCCCCTGGGATTATGAACTACGACTCTGGAGGGGATGGGGCTTTCTTGACTTGGGTGTGATGAGTCCATCCTTTTTTTTTTTTTTTTTTTTTGCTGTGTGAACAGCAGTCTTGGTGGTTAGCAGCACAAGGTAAGGTCCTTCCCAGGCTGGCTCGAGTTTTTTTTCTTTCCACCTTTTGATGAGAATGTGAACTCCAGGCTGGTGCTGGTTTACCGGAAATTCTAGGGGTGGTACATGTGCTAAAAGACTTTTAGATTTTGAGAGAAAGGAAAGTGGAAGATAAACCAAGTATATAATTTTTAAGAAATTGATCTTTTGTTTTAAATGTGGGGACCTTGGCAGTGGACTTTATAGTCCTTAGTGCCTTTTTACTGAGAAATTTCTTTTAGCACCTATTTTTATTAATTTTTAAACCAAAGAAAGCCAAATACCATTTTACTTTAACAATGCTTCTTGTATGATTTTTATACCAGATAAGCTAAATTTTATCTTTATATTAGGGTGTTATTAATGTTAAACCTAATTTTAATAAAACTTTGTAGACATCTTTATCTAATTTTTAATGTTTGACCAAAAGGTAAGATTTTATAGACTCTTTTTAATCTTTTATAATTTTTGCTAAAGAGCAGGTTGGTGCTTTAAGAAAAACCTGTTAGGCTTTTACTTTAATGTCCAGTTGACAGAAAAACTGGATGATACTTCTTTAATTTTAGCTAATATGGTTACACACAGAATTTTCTTTACATTTAACGTTTTAAAACTTGCTTAAACCTTCAATAATTTTTTTAACTTTTTAATGTAGGTAAAAATGTACATTTACTTTTCTTATACACCTTGCACATAAACTGTTTTTTTTTTTCAATAGTTTTACATTTAGGAGGCCTAGTTACTTTTAAATTATACAATATTTTTTGCATAAATGTTTTTTATAACATTTTTCTCTTCCATGACTTTCCACAGACAATTCTTTGACATGCCTCAACTTTCTCACTTATTACAAATATTTTTTTCTTTAAACAACCAGTTAATTTATTTCAGGACAAGAATTTACCATATAATACTCTTTTTATATAAATTTCACCCTTCCTTTTTTCTCCTTTTTTTTTTTTCCTTAGGATACTTCTGAACTGGTGAGGTGTGCTCACAATGAAGTTTTCTCTAAAAGTTTTTTTTTTTTTTAACCTTTTTTTTGTTGTTGTTGTTAGCAAAGCAGTTGCCACTACAGACTGAATGCATTTGGGCCATCTGCGGGTTACTGAGTTAAGGATTTTTGATAGGAAGGACTCAGTGCTTTTGGGATATGTCCTTGTTTACAGTGACAACAAGGTGGTATTGGAGTGTTATAGGGTTACAGAGAATACCTTCAATGATCAATTATAGGTTTTAAATTTACCTTGTCTTTTAAAGGAATAGGGTACACTTTTTTTTCTTAACTACTTGTATATCTCTTTCTTTTTTTTTCTCTTTGACTTTGTCTCTTTCTCTTTGACTTTCCTTTTGCCTCTGTCTCTTCTTTTTCTCTGCCTCTCTTTTTCTCTGTCTCCTTGACTCCTTCTTTTTCTGTCTATTCCTCTCTCTCTTTGCCTCTTTTCCTCTCTGTCTCTTTCCTTTCTCTCTCTCTGCTGGTCTTTCCTTGCCTCTGCCAGCCGCTTATGCTGCTGTTTTCTCAACCACTGTGTGTTGAGGGGCAGGGGGTCTAAAACTAGCTGTAACTAAGTGTCTCTGTACGGGAACTGGTCTGGTTTCCTTGTGCCATACCTTTGAAATAAGGGACCTGTCCAGGCTTCTTTCTAATGGCCCACCTACCTCTACTGCTGGCCAGTCTATCTCACACAAAGTTTCAAGTTTTCCTAGTGTCATAGTACTCTATAGTCTCCTTTAAAATCCTTTTTGAAAGTTTTCAACATAGTTCCTAGTAGGGTGGTCTTATTTGTGCCTGAACTATGCTTCTTCCAGACAAAACACTGCGCTCACACCACATGCACACCACAAAACAAAGAACGGGTAAAAAGGGCATACACACACTTTTGCAGTTTGCACTAAACCAAAATCAAAACTAAAATTAGAGTATCCAGAAATCCAAGCCAGGTCAAAACTAAAACCAAAGTATCAAGCAATCCAAGTCAAGTCAAAAACAGAAACTGAAGTGCCAGTACAAGCACACCACGGGTGATCAGGCCATGCTTCTACTCAAATGGAGTGGGCAAGTTCCTAAGACCAGTCCTGTCAAGCAATTCAAACCAAGTCAAAACTAAAACCAAAGTGCTGATAAAGGCACAACGTGGGTGATCAGGCCACGCTTCTACTCAAATGGAGTGGGCAAGATCCTAAGACTGGTCCTGTCAAGCAATTCAAACCAAAACCAAAGTGCCAATAAAGGCATGCCATGGGTGATCAGATCACGCTTCTACTCAAGTGGAGTGGGCAAGTTTCAAAGATTAGTCTTACAAAGTTTTAGATGTCCAGACTCCAAGTGCCCGTTCCTTCCCGGTGTTCAGCCACTGCATTGATCCTCCACGGGGACCTGCCACACATTGCTCTGACGAGGCGTCCCACCGGGGCAGATGCCTACCCAAGGGTACTCTCAGGATCCACGTAGCTCGGGCTGGTTGGAGTCCCCCACAGGGATGTTCCACAGGGCAAGCTTGAGCTGCCTGGACCATCCACCAATCACCTCGCTTCCTGGTCAGGGAACCAAGAAATGTAGCAGGACAAGCCTCAGACAAAAGTCCTCAGACACCCAGTTAAAAAAGGAAGGGGTTTATTCAGCCAGGGGCTTTGGCAAGACTCCCGTCTCAAGAGCCGAGCTCCCTGAGTGAGCAATTCCTGCGCCTTTTAAGGGCTCACAACTCTAAGGGGGTGCGCAGTGAGAGGGTTGTGATTGATTGAGCAAGCATGGGGTATGTGACTGGGGGCTGCATGCACTGGTAATTAGATCAGAACAAAACAGGATAGGGATTTGCACAGTGCTTTTTTATACAATGTCTGTAATCTATAGATAACTGATTAGGTCAAGGGTCAGTTTTAACTACCAGGCCTAGGGTGTGGCGCCGGGCTGTCTGCTTGTGAATTTCATTTCTGCCTTTTAGTTTTTACTTCTTTTTTCTCTGGAGGCAGAAATTGGGCATAAGACAATATGAGGGTTGGTCTCCTCCTTTAGGCAGATCACGAGCTCAGGAGTTCAAGACCAGCCTGGCCAACATAGTGAAACCCTGCCTCTACTAAAAATACAAAAATTAGCCAGGTGTGGTGTCATGTGCCTGTAGTCCCAGCTGCTTGGGAGGCTGAGGCAGGAGAATCACTTGAACCTGGGAGGCAGAGGTTGCAGTGAGCTGAGATGGTGCCATTGCACTCCAGCCTGAGTGACAGAGTGAGACTCCGTCCCTCCACCCCCCGAAAAAAAGAAAGAAAGTGAATAAAGCCAAACTTACTTGAATTTCCATTATGTCTCCAGCCTTCTGCTGAAAGCCTAACTTGTGTTACTTCATTTTAATCCATGAAACAAACTCTTGAGGTAAGCAATACCCTTTTTTAAAGCTGTAAGCGTCTTTACATAACAAAAATAAGAACAATTTGCCCAAGGCCACTTAGCCACGAGAATATAGACCTGGGATTTAAACCCAGCCTGGCTTGACTTTAGTATCTGTGCTCTTCCTACTTGGCTTAAACTGTCTGTCTTAGCCATGGGAGGTGTGAAATTAATGAATACTATCTTCCAAATGATTACGTATTTGTTCTTGAGATAGAAAACATGGAGCATTAATTGGTGGTGCAGTTCTATGTAGCTATCTCTACATAACCATTTTTTTTTTAAACCTAGACACAAGAAATAACTTCTTTACACCTCACACTCCAGACCCTGGAAATCACCTATTTCCAGGTCTCTGGTATCACCTGATATCTTGGGCTCATCTTCTATTAGAGTTTGTAGCTTTAGGAAGATGTCTACTTCTTTTAGAATTCCTCTCTGAAGGGAGGATGATACTCTGAATATGGAGTATCACACTTGATTATCTTAGGTTTTATTACAGAATAAAGACTCTTGCTTCCAGAGGTGTTATGGCCTGAATTGTGTTCCCCTCAAAGTTTATATGTTGAAGTCCTAAGCGCCAGGACCTCAGAATGTGACATATTTGGAGACAGGTTCTTTAAAGAGTAGTTAAATTGAAATGAGATATTCAGGGTGGACCCTAACTCAATATGAGTAATATTCTTATAAGAAGAGGAGTTCAGGACACAGACATGTACAGAAGGAAGACTATGTGAAGACAAAAAGAAAACAGCCATTTATAAGCCAATAAGAGAGGCCTGGAACAGATCCTTCCCTTACAGTCCTCAGAAGAAACCAACCCTGCTAAAGCCTTGATTTTAGGCTTGCTATAGCCTCCAGAACTATGAAAAAATAAATTTTTATTGTTTAAGCCACCCAGTCTGTGGTACTTTGTTATCGCAGTCGTAGCAAACTAATATAAATAGGATGAAAATTAGCAGTCTGAGAAACACCAAAATTCCCAGTTAAGGATAACCAAGACATTTGGAATTATGTTGTCTCCTCAAAGCAAAATGCAGCAATTTCTCAAGGAGAATTTAAAATCCCAGGTGATACATGAGCCTCAGACCCACAGGTATCTCTCTCCTCTTCAGATAAATCTAAAGGGAGAATAACGAAAAAAGATTGACCATACTAATTGACAAGATTGAAAATAAATGCATGGCCAGGCATGGTGGCTCACTCCTGTAATCCCAGCATTTTGGGAGGCCGAGGAGGGCAGATGACCTAAGGTTGGGAGTTCAAGACCAGCCTGACCAACATGGTGAAACCCCATCTCTACTAAAAATACAAAATTAGCTGGGCTTGATGGAGCATGCCTGTAATCCCAGCTACTTGGGAGGCTGAGGCAGGCGAACCGCTTGAACCCAGTGAGCCGATCACGCCATTGCACTCCACCCTGGGCAACAAGAGTGAAACTCCATCTCAAAATAAATAAATAAATAAAATAAAAATAAAAAATAAATGCATGCCATTGTATCTGTAGAGACTTTGAGGAGGACAGAGCAGGCTTGGGTTCCACATTCATGGGGGAAGGAGGGGCAGTGGTTGGGAAAGGTGTACCTGAAGATATGTGTGTGGAGAAATATAGGACTCTGTTATGGCAGTGTTTTCCAAACTTGTCTGACCACAATGTCTAAAACAAACATATTAAATCAGAATTGCCAAAAGAGTGAGCCTGTTGAGGGGGATAAAGCAACTCCTTGGCTGCTAATTCACCATGTTTGTAACCAGCAAAAAGGGTCTGGCTGCTCACTGAACTTCTTTCTTAAGGAATGACGTTAAAATAATAATGCATTATGATAAGAAAGAAGGATATTCCTTTATTATCCGTGCTAGGTAAGGGGAAGAGTACAGAGCAATTCAACTCTTCGATTTGTGGAGGGTAAGCAGGGTTTTTTAAAGGAAGGGTTTGGAATACAGAAGAGAGAAGGGGCTAAGAGGTGCCAGGTGGCATGACTTGCTCCGATGTCTCATCTTGAATTATTTTGTCTCATTTGGTGAAGGGGTTGGCACCATCGTGGATCCTGCCAGGTTATAAATTAGTTGCAGTACGTCTTATAGTCACCTGGAGTGGATTCCATCCTTGAAGTAATCTTTTACTGGAGAAAATTCTGGAAGTGCCTGGTGCCTATAAGGATCTGACCCATGAAGCTTCCAAGGAAAGGCAGGACCGGATAAGAGAGCATGGTGTGTGCTTAACAAGCATGTAGGTAAATAAATATGCATAAGGCATGGGAGCATAGTATGGGAAATGAAAGGGAGTGGAGGTTCACAGCACATTTTGAGCCTGGATTTAAAGATGAGAGGTAACACATATGCAGTTTGTCTCAAAGTTATATCTTCAGACTGGGATGGGAAAGAGGAAAGAAAAGAAAAAACATTTAAAATGCAGCTTGAGCCTATGTTGTTGGGCTGCTAGGCTGCTTGGTTGCATGTTGACTTCTGATTGACCCCTGTTCTGGGAATGCCTCTAAGATTTCTACTTTATCTACTGTTACTATAAATCCTGCCTTGAAGGAGACTTACACAGTGTTCTTGCCTTTCCCTGGTGAATCGACTTCAATTGTCCTATTGTTACCAATCACAGGTTCTTAGACTCTCATGTAATAGAAAGTGGCATGAGGCCCAACAAGTTTCCCAGTCAAGGCCTTTATTAAGGGCTTGTGTTGGAACAAAAGGGAGCCAGCACTGGAGTTAAAGGTTTCATGCTGTCTCCCTAAAGGCTGTGCATTGTGGTGCCTTAATACATTTATGCCTCATGCTCCATTATTGGAATGCTAAGAGTGTGGGAGTTTTTCGTATCCTATTGCTCAAGGTCATCACCAAGGTCTGATTGCAAAAATTCAAAAAATTGCAACCTCAGGCATAAGCGGGTTAAGGAGAGTGACATGCATAATTCATGAGATAGGTGAGTATCACCACATGTGTGGGATGCAGTGCAGGGTGCATGAATCTAGTAAGGAGTAATGCTAACACATACATGACATGATTAGAAAATGGCAAATAAGGCTCTCCCTGGGTAGGGATTTTAGTATTATAATGAGGCAAAGGTAAAGACCAGTCATCCTTCTGGTGTTGTGCACATGAGGGTGATAGGGTTAACTTCTTTGAGTGAAATCTATTTTGGAAGGCCATTTGTTTTAGCTTTTCAAAGGTCCTCCAATCAGAGGACCTTGCATGAAATGTATGGGACAGGGTCGGAGCATGGCTTATCTTGGCTTGTAAGGTTTTTCCATCAAGAGGGCTGCTCTAGAAGAAGTGAGAGTGCAAGGTCTTGTCAATGAAAAGATATCTTGTCAACTGCAAAATATTTTAAATTTGTTCTGAGCCAAGTATGAGAACCAATGATCCATGACACAGCCTCCCAGGGGGTCTTGAGAACATGTGCCCAAGGTGATTGGGATACAGCTTGGTTTTATATCTTTTGGGGAGGCATATGACATCAGGCAATACATGTAACATGTACGTTGATTCAGACCAAAAAGGTGGGAACACTTGAAGGAGAGAATTCAAAGATTTTCTGATTGGCAATTTGGTTGAAAGAGTTTATTACCTAAAGACTTGGAATCAATAGAAGGGAGTGTCTGGGTTAAGATAAGGGGTTGTGGAGATCAAGATGCTTATGCAGATGAAGCCTCCAGGTAGCATGCTTCAGAGAGAATAGACTGTAAAAGTTTATCAGACTTTAAAAGGTGCCACACTCTTAGTTAATTCTCTCCTGAACGAGGAAAAAGACTGGGAAAGGGAAGGGGATTCTCTACAGAATGTAGATTTTTCTCCACAAGAGACAGCTTTATAGGGCCATGTCAAAATATGTAAAATATGTTAAAGAAATATATTTTGGGATAAGATACTTCAATTTCTTTCAGGGCTTGCTGGCTTTTGTAAACCAGAGGTATCTGAGACAGATTTCAATCAATTTAGGAGTTTATTTTGCCAAAATTAAGGATATACTCATGACACAACCCCAGGGGTTCCTGAAAACATAGGTCCAAGGTGGTTGGGCTACAGCTTGGTTTTATACATTTTAGGGAGACATAAGACATCAATCAATATATGTAAGATGTATATTGGCTTGGTCCAGAAAGGCAAGACAACTTGGAGCAGGGATGGGGGATGGAAAAGGGAGAAGGAGGGGTGTTGGTTGGGAGTCTTCCAGGTAGTAGGTAGATTCAGTGATTTTCTGATTGCCAATTGGTTAAAAGAGTTTATCTAAAGACCTGGAATCAGTAGAAGGCAGTGGCTGGATTAAGATAAGGTGTTGTAGAGACCAAGGTTTTTATTACGTAGATGAGGCCTCCAGGTAGCAGGCTTCAGAGAGAATAGATTGTGTTTCTTTAGACTTTGCAAGGTGCCAGAATATTCCTTGATTCTCTCTTAGATCAGGAAAAAGAGCTGGAAAAAGAAAGGGATTGTCTACAGAATGTAGATTTTCCCCACAAGAGACAGATTTGCAGGGCCATTTCAAGAAACATCAAGGAAATATATTTTGGGGTAAAATACTTTGATTTCTTTCAGGGCCTGCTATCTGTCATGTTGGCATTTTATTGCTACAAAGAGTCTGCTTTGCCAGTCTTAAGGTCACTGTTTTAATGTGAATGTTGGTCAGTTGTGCCTGAATTCCAAAGGGAGGAGGGTATAATGAGGCATATCCAACCAGTCTTTCCAATCATGGCCTGAATTTGTGTTTTAGGCTAACTTTTGAATGTCCTTGGCCAAAAAGAGTGGTCTATTCAGTTATTTGTGGGGTGAGAGGGAAGCTTAGAATTTTATTTTTGGTTTATGCTGTCATGTGATTCTATACTAGAGAGGGTTGGAATTTGGTGTCTTATTGCTACAGAGAGTCTGTTTTGTCATTCTCAAGGTCTCTGTATTAAATGTTAATGCTGGTCAGTTGTGCTTGAATTTCAAAGGGAGGAGATTATAATGAGGCCTGTCCTACCTCCCTTCCCATCACAGCCTGAACTAGACTTTCAGGTTTATTTTGGAATACCCTTGGCCAAGAAGTGAGATCTGTAAGTCAGTTGGGGAACTTAGGATTTTATTTTTGGTTTACAGTCTGGATGGTCTAGTTGTGATCTCCAGCAGCTATAGGGCCTTTACCAGTTCGTAGTACAGGCCTTGGTGGGGTGGGGCATGCTGGGGCTTCTTTATTGAAGGTTATGGAGGAGGTGATGCAGGCACTCTTGGCCAAATTGAAATAGGGAAGTTGCAGGTTGAAGCCTCTGCCCTTTGTTGCCCGACAGTGCTAGGCCAGCCAGCAGCAGCAGTGTGGAGCCTTGGGGGCCACCTGCTCTGCCATGAGCACTGCATTCTGCCCTCTCCCTGGGCTGTGTCCCAGCACCCCAGGGGCAGCATGCAGGACCAGCAGGTCTGAAAAAAAATGCATTAGTGGGATTGGGAGTGCCGAGTCCCATTCCTATTGTGTCTTTGTACACATTCATTCCCTATAGTATATAAACCCTGAGTCTGGGGGCAATGGCACAGCAATCCATCATCTTGTCACTTTGCTGTATGTGACATAGTCATGGCTTCTGTTCTTAAGTCTCTATTAAATGATTCTTTCTGATAAACTGGATATGTCAGTCTCTTTCTTTGGCCTCTCAGATTTCTCGAAGTTTGGGGATAGGATTGCACAGACTATCGCCACGGAACACCTGTCTAGTTTAAGAAACACTGAGTGTGGTCAATGCCAATTCAGGCAACTGAAATTCTGATACACAAATGATCTGCCTATCACTAGGAACCCCCTCTAATAATGACATAGAGTAGAAAAATTGACTCACAAGTGATCTTGATGTTCTGGTGCTGATATTTTGGAAAAGCCTTTCCTTCTCCAAATACTTTTTCTTTTCTTTCTCTAGGTACTCTAGACTATGATTGGTATTAAATGCTTCCTTTTAGGAATAATGAGGTATTTAATTATATTTTTAAAGAGGACAATATTGTTTTGTTTTGCTGCCATATAGCTTCTTCATTCTGAGGAGCTTATCTGTGACCATATCTCTCCCATTTACTTCTAAAATTAAATAATTACCCTATTAATTCTTCAGACAATTATTGCATGCTCATCTGTGCCAGCTGTATAAGTTTTATAAGTTATTAAAAGTCACACATATAAGACAACATCTCTTTTGAGAAGCTGGCAATCCAAAGGAGCCCAAAGACACAAAGCAGAGTAAATCCAGAGCAAGTTCTAAGTGTTCAGGAAGAGTTGCCTTGATATTTGGACCTCTGGGTGCTGTAACAGTCATGAAAATCCATGTGGAAGAAGCAAAACTGTTGAAGTGTGAAATGAGATGCACACCTGAGAAGACCTGACTAATCTGCAGGGGACTCTGGGGTGAGGACGATTACCCTTCAGACTGTTCTTTTTTTTATTTTTTTATTTTTTTATTTTTTGAGACAGAGTCTCACTCTGTCACCCAGGCTGGAGTGCAGTGGCGTGATCTCAGCTCACTGCAAGCTCCACCTTTTGGGTTCACGCCATTCTCCTGCCTCAGCCTCCCAGGCAGCTGAGACTACAGGCGCCTGCTACCATGCCCGGCTAATTTTTTTTTTTTTTTTTTTTTTTGTATTTTTAGTTGAGATGGGGTTTCACGGTATTAGCCAGGATGGTCTTGATCTCCTGACCTCGTGATCCACCCACCTCGGCCTCCCAAAGTACTGGGATTACAAGCGTGAGCCACTGCACCTGGCCCATACTGTTCTTACCATGTAGAAATGGCCAAGCTTGTTTATACTTCTGCCTTCCTCAGTCATCTGATGTGGCCTGCCTGGGAGGTTTTGACATGAGTTGAAGCATGTATCTAAATTTGAGGCAGACCAATACAGAGTTTGCTCACTGCATTCCTCACCACTGGGAAGTAAGTCTTTCCTTGAAGGGGCACCTGGGCAGCATATCTTCATATTCACCTGAAGATCTAGCCTGAAAATGGCACGTGACAAGGGCATGCCAAGGGCACTGGGTGATTGAGCCATAAAGGAGAGACTTGACCCCGGGTGGAAGAGTGAACTCTTAATTTTCCATTTTGTAATCTTCTGTTTCAGTTTTAGAAACATTGGTGCACTTCTCGAACTCACTTTTGAATTCCGAATTTGAAAATAAGCCTGACTGTGGGCCTGAGAATGCAATTTCAGTATTCTCAATCTTATCTGAGAAACCAGTAGAAAACTGGGAAATTTCACTCAGTCAGAGAGGAACAGATCTTCATATTATTTTTCCTTGGAAATTCATGTTTTTCTCTTCTCTGGTGGATAACCACCATATTGAAGAATAATGTTTCTGTAAGTTGCCAATTGCATTCTTGTTCTATCATTGTTTGTGACAGGAGATTAATGTGAAAATGAACTACTGTACTATTCTGTAGATGCTGTGTTAGAATGTCTTTGATAAAACCCTGAAACTTGCTGTTCTTGCCTTATCAACAAAGCTCTCCTATGGTGAGAGAAAAGTAGGTCACAGTGAAGTGGGTCAGAAAGACAAGAAATGGCAAGAGATTCTTGTTGGCTGTTCTAAATGTTTTTCATCCTGTTATCACCTAGGCTTATTTCAGGAGTCTTACCAAAAATGGGAGCTAACAAGTCCTATTTGTTGTAAAACTGGTTCAAGTTGGAAATATGTCACTCACAAAAAAATGACTCCTGAATGATTTAAAAAATCAGTATGAAAAACCAAATTTTGAAAACACAGACCCTGAGAGGTAAAATCTGTGGCATCCAAGAGGATGTTGAGCATGTTCTTACTCACATGTGGGATCTAAAGAAACATTGAGTTCCTAGAATGAGAGAGTAGAATTGTGGTTATTAGAGGCTTGGATGAGTAGCAGGGAGGGGAGGTTAGGGAGAGATTGGTTAATGAATACAAAATTGCAGCTAGATAGGAAGAATATGTTCTAGTGTTCTTTAGCACTGTAGGGTGAATATAGTTAAGAATAATTTATTTTATATGTTTGAAAAAAGAATTTTGAATGTTCCCAATACAAAGAAATGATAAATGTTTGAGCTGATGGATATGCTTATTGCCTTTATTTGATTACTATACAATATACACAGGTATGAAAATCTCACTCTGTTCCCCATAAATATGCATGATTATGTGTCAACTAAAAATAAAAGGAAGAAAAAGTGGATTGTGAGATTTTCTCCAGCAGACAATATTGTTACACAATAAAAAAGGAATAATTCTAAACAGTGTTTATTGAGTCTTAGAACTTAACACATATGCCTATTATTCAGAAGATTTATAAAACCCAAATGAAAGATGACAGGATTCCAGAACAGCTTAGTTATTTATGGCATTTGGGGAAGCACTTAGAACAATAAAAAAGCTTTTCAAAGCAAGCTTAGTGATTTAAAAGCCAAGATTAAATATTCAAATTAGAGAGACCCTGTCTACTTGGGACTACTACACTGCTAAAAGTTGGATAAACATTTAATACACTAAGTTGCAAATAGAATGAGTTACTCCATGTTAAAGTAGAATTACAAGGAATGAGCCAGATAAACAACTTTCTCTCCTGTGTTCCATCTGCCTGTAATTTCTTCTGTAAAATGTGTATAATAGAACCTATCTCATAAAGTCCCTGTGAGAAGTCACTGAGTTAATAAATGTAAACTATTTAGAAGAGTGCCTAGGGATGAGAATGTACCCAAAAAAACATTGAGTTCCTAGAAGAAGAGAGTAGCGTTTTGGTTATTAGAGGCTTGGATGGGTAGTAGGGAGGGGAAGATAGAGACACACACATACACACACACAGACACACACACACACACACACACACTTATTGCTATTCTAATTACCTGACAAAGGTAATAATCACATCTCTCTTTTAAAATAAAATCCACAAAGATATAGCCCAGAAGCAATGAGGAGATTACTATTGATTTCATTCATCAATTCACAAATTATTTATGAAGGGCTCCTTCCTAGGGCTCATTTTCACTCTGGAAGACACAAACTTGAACAAGAAGTTCCCTGCCCTTAAAGTAGGCAAATCAGAAAATAAGCACGTTTAAAACTAAATGCATTCATACATGTATACACAAAGCATAGATACAGTTATACATATATCATAAATATAATTTTAGGAAGTGAATAATACTGTGAAGAAAATCTATTTAAGTAATAGGATAGAGAGTAACCAGTAGATGGGGTAAGAGCCTGGTAACTGTGTGACTCTGGGCCTTTTGCTGAATCTTACTTTGCTTGTGTTCCCTCACCTGCAAATGGAGATAGTAACAGTATCTGTCTCACATCGTTGTGGGAAAAACTGCTGTCACAATATATGTATGAAACTCAGATATAATGATGGCAAAGTGATGATAATGTTGATGATAATGATGATAATGTAGTTAAAGCTCAAAATTATTATTATACAGTAGACAGAGAACCTGAGGAAGCGATGTGTGAGCTGAAATCTGCATTTTGAAAGCCATAGAGCCATAAATGAAAGTCTGAGGGAGAATCCTAAGCTGAAGGAACAAGAATTGCACACACCATAAAACCAGTCTGGTCCCTTCATTTGAAGGATAGAGAGACGATCTCAGAAGCTGTGTTGAGATTTTTACATTGTACTAGTCAGGGTTCTCTAGAGGGACAGAACTAATAGGATAAATGTATATACATGAAGGAAAATTTATTAGGAGAATTGACTTACATGATCACAAGGGCAGCCTGCAAGCTGAGGAGCCAGGAAGCCAGTCCGGGTCCCAAAATCTCAGAAGTAGGGAAGCTGATAATGCGATTTCAGTCTTTGGCCGAAGGCCTGCGAGCCCCTGGCAAATCACTAGTGTTAAGTCTAAGAATCCAAAAACTGAAGAACTTGGAGTCTGATGTTCGAGGGCAGGAAGTATCCAACAAAAGAGTAAGATGGAGGCCAGAAGACTTAGCCAGTCTAGTCTTTCCACGTTCCTCCACCTGCTTTATTCTAGCTGAACTGGCAGCTGATTAGATGGTGCCCACCCAGATTGAGGGTGAGTCTGCCTCTCCCAGTCCACTGACTAAATTGTTAATCTCTTTTGGCAACCCCCTCACAGACACACCCAGGAAAAATACTTTGCATCCTTCAATCCAATCAAGTTGACACTCAATATTAACCGTCATATACATCTGTCATTAGATTTATACCTATTTTATATTTTTGATGCCTCTGTAAATTGTATAATATTTAATATTAAGATTATTATTAGTATATAGAGACAATTTTGTATTGGCATTGAAGTATTGGATCATGTCTTCTGCTAATTAGTATTTCTTTCCAATTAATATATTCTATATTTAAATTAATATTTATTTATTCATTATTTATTTATTTATTTTTAGAGACAAGGTCTTACTCTGTTGCCCAGACTTCATTGCAGTGGTGCAAGCATGGCTTCCTGTAGCTTAAACTCCTGGGCTCAATCCATCCTCTCGCCTCAGCCTTCAAAGTATCTTTATAATTTATTTTTAGAGCAGTTTTAGATTTATAGAAAAACTAAGCAGAGAACAGAGAGTTCCCCAATACTCCTCTGCCCTCGACAGTTTCCTCTTTTATTAGCATCTTGCAATTGTGTGGTATATTTGCCACACTTGATAAACCACAGTTATAGGGTAGTTAGGATGACAAAAATAGCATTAAAAAAAAAAAGACATTTTATACACCACTGAATCATACAGCTGAATGGGAACCTACTCTGATTTCTTTTTCTTTTTTACACTTAATTATTTACCAGATTTGAGTCCCTCTTTCAAAATAGCCTCCTTTTCCTATGAGAAAGTACAAAATGAACTTTTCAGGATGATTCTGTCATCTCCAAGTTCAATGGATAGCATGTCTCTAAGGATAAGTGAATACAGCAAAATTTAGTTCAGAGAACCCTGAGGGTCCCCAAGACCTTTTCATGGTCCATGATATCAAAACTATTTTCACAATAATGCTAAAACATTACTTACCCTTTTTACTCTTCTTGTCTCACAAGTGAATTGTCAAATATTTTAGAAGCTACCTTAACTATTGTATTACAACAGATTAAACAATGAATCACAATAAGAATCTAGATGTTTTCTAGAAAACTTATTATATGTTATTAAATGTTATTTAACATGTAATTGGTTTATTACTATCTTTAATAAACATTTTATAATGTCTCATTATTAAGTTCTAATACAGTAGATAACTGTTAGATACAACTTACAAAACCAAAAGCTTTTGGGGACCTTCAATAATTTTTAAGAGTGAAAACTTTTAAGATCGAACCATTTGAGAATTGCTGAGATAATCAATTAAGTCTGTCCCACTGACCATATTGATTGATTCAGGCAAACATGGACCAGAGTTTGAAATGCTTGGACAAGAGGTTTTCTTTTCCTCTATTATGTGGAACACACATCTGAGGGCTAGACCTCTGAAATCTTTGGTGATTTTAAAAAGGCATTCAGCCTGAGGATGAAGCCACCACTCAGAGAAGAGCAGAATTCAGAAGTGTAGGGAATTGGATGTGGAGCACTTGTCATACCTTGAATTTCTGCAGCAAACTATTCTTAAGATCTGTCCTACTTGTGAGCTTTTACATGTGTAAGCCAGCAGTTACCCATTGTTTGGTTTGTGATCGTCTTACAGAATTCAGTGATAATGAGAAAATGGTTAGATGAGCGAGGTGAAAGAAAGAGATGACTGAGATTGCCAGGCTACAAATTCCAGGGGGTTGCCTGGTACCTAAGCATTTTGGGGAAGGTGGGGAAGCAAGTATAAGTCAATTAAATAAAAATAGCAGATTTCTTCTTCTTCCTCTCATAAGTGGATTTTATTTCATTTTTAAAAATAGTTCACTGAAGGTGGTGGAAAAAAGCATAAGCCCATTTACAATTCAGCCACTTACATAGCATGATCAACCAAAGAAGGAAAAAGACAAAAATCTATGTTTATATAATTGGGTCATTTAATCCAGGGGATCCCAACCCCCAGGCCATGGACTGGTGGCCTGCTAGGAACTGGGCCACACAGCAGGAGGTAAGCAGCAGGCAACCAGGGAAGCTTGATCTGTATTTACAGCCACTCCCATTGCTCACATCACTGCCTGAGCTCCACCTCCTGCCAGATCAGCAGCTGTATTAGATCCTCATAGGAGTGCAAACCCTACTGTGAACTGCGCATGTGAGGGATCTAAGTTCCGTGCTCATTATGAGAATCTAATGTCTAACTATCTGAGGTGGAGCTGAGGCAGTGATGCTAGTGCTGAAGAGTGGCTGCCAGTACAGATTAACATTAGCAGAGAGGTTTGACTGCACACAGACCATAATAAATCAATTGCTTGCAGCCTCCTATGGAAACCCTATCAGTGAGTGGCAAGTGACAATTAAGCTGCATCTGTTGGCAGGCTTTATAGTGCCAAGTAAATTAATATACTTAAAAGTGATGTACTTAAAAGTTGATCTACTTAAAAGTGAGTTGATGGCCTTAAAATTATGTCTGAGACAACTTCAAATCTCTGTACATTCTGAATTAAAGTCAAGGCAGAATCTCCTGAGATTGCCACAAAAGCACTGAAAAGCCTGCTTCCATTTCAAACATCCTATCTTTATGAAGCAGGGTTTTCTGCAGTGACAGCAACCAAAATGATATTACAGAGTAGATTGGACATAAGCAGCATGCTTTGGGTGTCACTCTCTCCTATCACCCTCAGATGGGACCACCTAGTTGCAGGAAAACAAACATGGCTCCCACTGATTCTACATTACGGTGAGTTGTACAATTATTTCATTATATATTACAACATAATAATAATAATAATAGAAAAAAGCACACAATAAATTTAATGAACTAGAGTCATCCTGAAACCATTGCCTCTGCCCTGGTCCATAGAAAAATAGTATTCCACAAAACTGGTCCCTGGTGCCAAAAAGATTGGGACTGCTGATTTAATTCTCACAACTAGAAAAAAAAAAAAAACAGAATCTTATTATCTCTACTTTATAAATGAAGAAACAAATTGGGCAAAGAGAGCTTCAAGTAGGGTCCAGATGGGACCAACGTTCTTGCTCTTAGTCATTCTCTTGACTTGCTCTGAGCTTTGTGATTAATTCCATAATGGAGGCCAATCAGGTTATAGATGCAAATAGGATCCAGATTATGGACTCTGAAAATTTTGATGATTAAAGCGGGGGCAGCATAACACATGAACCTCCTTGAAGCAGGAAATGAAAAGAAGGGGAGAATGGATATAAACCAAAAAGTGTGTCTGAGGCAGGTGTCAATCAATTCAGAGGTTTATTTCACTATGTTTGAGGATCCATCTAGGAAAAAAGACACAAGGTACAGCAGGATGTGTGACCTGTGTTTTTTCCAAAAAGGCTTTGAGGACTTCAATATTTAAGGGGGAAAGAATGGCAGAGGGGGAAGAGGAAAGAAAAAAAGAAGGAGGGTAAGTAGTGAGATAAGTGTTCATATCCTTGTGAGGCTTTGATTAGTGCTCACTGAATCCACATGTTACATGTGAAAGGAGAGGACAGAGGAACAGTCAATTATGCGTTCATCTTGAGCTTAGTAAATCTTCATTTTACATAACATAAAAAATAGACATAGAGTAGAGGAAGAAGTCAAATATGTATTTGTCTCAGGATGGGTGGAGGGATGGTTTCTTTATCTTTGTCCAACGATTGCAAAGATAAGCTGTTAATTTACATTGTCAGGGTGAAATTCAAGACAACTCCCTTTAGGGTACAGGTTTTCCAGCCCACAAGGAATTTCTTTGTGAACAATTTGTGAAAGAGGCTACCTGGGGCAATATGTGGCTTTCTATCTTGCAGCTATTTAGGAACAAAATGGAAGGCAGTTTTTGCATGACTGAGTTTTCAAGCTTAGCTTCTCTCTTTGGCATGGTGTATCTGGGGGGGTCCCAAGATTTTATTTTCCTTTCACATGGGCATTTCAGAGAGTTAATAGATCAGAATTTGTAAAAATAAAAAATTAAAATTTTAGACATGTCTCTATTCTGATGCAAATAATCAAGTTGAGAGGGAAAGAACTAAAAGATGTAAGACAGAAAAGTGATAAATTCAAAAGTGAAGTCGTTAATAATGCAAGAAAAAACGGAGTCTCAAATAGAGGGAGAAAGCTTTACATAGTATATGGAACACGTACCTGACAGCAGTAATTCAAGCACATGCTGAGAATGGCCCTATAGTCTAAGAATGTGTGTTTGGTGTTCTGAGCTAAGGAATCTAGGAATGGCCAACCTGGGGATTCACTCCTTATCCATGAAGAACCTCCAAACTCCAGGCCCATTGCTTGGAATCAGGCAATACAGGGGATTGAGGCCCTTTGTTTTGGGTTAAATGGAGATTGGCAGGTGGAGGTTGGCAGATGGAGGTGGCTAAGTGAAAATATAATATATCCTGCATGGTTTTCACACATGGGAGCAGTTTTCCTGTCCAACTCACTGCTCCTGGACTACCCCGTATGTAAGTCCCCAATGATCCCTACGTCTTGTTCACAGGCTCCAGGTCTCTTCCTCAGCCTCTTGGACATGGTGCCATTCCTATTGGAGTCAACAGGCGTTCAGTACAACACATGGGAACAGAAATGTTTATAAGTAGAATGAAATAAAATATTACCCTGTAATAAAATAAAAGGCCACATGTGTGGTTATAAATATAGTTTGGTTGACAGATAGGATAATGGAAAAAATGAGTTAGTTCTCATTTTACAGAAAAACTGTTGCCATTGCCTTTTTTTCCATAAAATACTACATATTGAGTAGTTGAGAATGTGGGTAGGGGAAAGAAGTGTCTTAAAATTGAATAAAGATTAAAATATGAAAGATTCCTCCTAGAGAGTCAGAATTTTATTTACTAGGGAAGTGTATCCAGATTTCCTAGCACCAAGTGTCTATTTACTATTTGTGGCTACAGCTACAAATGCTTTCTCACCTGCCTTTGAAGAAAATAAAACTATTTTACCCCAATTTATACTTCTTTGATGTATTTTGAGATGTCTGTTCAGAGAGCCAGCAAACAGAAGTAGCCCTGAAAAGCTGTCTTTTGAGGGAGGGGATCTGCAACTGCAGAGAAAATCTACATTAATGCAGCCAGGTTTTATTTGAGGCCAGCCCTTGTGCAAATCCAGAAAAGATTAACTGATAGATAGGCTGATATCTTTAAAGGTCTGAAAAAAAGATTTACTACCTGTTTTCTCTGAGGGCTACTACCTGTGAAGTTTCATCTACATAACAAGACCAACTTTGCTAGTCAGGCCTCCTCTTTTTCCTCTTTTCTCCCATAACCTGTGTTACCACCATAACCTGCTTTGTCATGTATGTATACTGGGCAGTGACATTTTGAAAATTATCTGGGCAGTGAACTTAATTCAAATTAATTGGGACAACAATTTAGATTTCAAGAAAAATTAAGTTGGAAATTATAGGAGATCGGTCAGGGTGGCGGGAAAAATTATAGAAAGAAGCAAATCTTCTTGGAAGGCCAGGAGGTTTTGCAAAAGCTTGGGGAAAGGATATAGCTGAAGGCAGCTGAATTCTCTCGGAGTAGATAACAAGGAAGCACAATGGAATTGATATAGATAAGTTAGTTTACTTAGGCCTTGGAACCTGGCCTTTAATTATCTGCGTGCAGGACTGCTCTCCCCAGGGGTGGGGAGGGGGGCCCAACCGTGTTAATTACTCAAGGCCTTTGTGATTAAATCTGTACTGAATAAATGCCCCCAAAGCTAGCTTGTCGAGGCTGCGGCTGCTGACTCTTTATGGCACCCTCCTCAGGGTCTTTGAGCAGCCCAGTCCCCTAGCCATGCAGCCAGGCAAGAAACCTGTGTCTGGCATACTCCATTCATCCGTCGCTCAGTCAGGGTCTGAGGGTCAGACACGGCAGGAAATCACAGGAAACTATTTTTAAGATAGATTGCTGTTTTACATACTTCTTCCAAAATAGTACCAAGTAGAAAGAACAACTCGAACTGTTTTTCCTCTGCTCTCACACCAGAGACACAACATATAGACTTCTGCGACCAAACGTGTGGGGATTTCTCCCCACCAAAAAGGCAAGCAATCATTTCTGGAGTGAACACCAGCTGGCTGTCCTTCAATTCTGTTGAGACATCATCTAAACTGGAGATAATATCAGATTCCATGGTTTGAGGGCTCAGTCTCACAAGACTTTTTCCCATTTCCAATGCCAATCAGAAGCCCTGGGTTATTTTGCCTGTACTTCTGACTGACCCACTATAAATCAGGGATCCCATGCCCCCAGTCTTGGACTTAACTAATTTGCTGGAGCACCTCACAGATCTCAGGGAAACATGTTTATCAGTGTATTATAAAGGAAATAATAAAGGATACTGTTGACCTAAACAAAGAAACCAAGACAAAATTAATATAGGTAGAGAGTTTATTTTGACTAAGGTTGAGGACTGAAGCCCAGCAAACACTGGGAAGTGCTCCTGAGATCAAAGAAAAGGCTCAAGTTTTTGAAGAAAAAAGGTAGAATTAGGGGAGATGATTACAAAAGTTCTCTTTTCAGAAATTTGTGTTGGTTTACAGAGATAACTTGATTCATGATTGGCTATAAGGTTCGACTTATGCTGCCAGCATATGGCATCATTATGTTAATTGAGTCTAGAGTCCTTATAGCAGGTGGCTTAGAAATGATTACTTAGCTCAAGGAGGAGAGGGTGGGACATGACTGTAATCTAATTTCAATGTCTCTCTGGGCCTGATAATTTAAAAGGGAGATTGCATTTCACAATAAAAAGTTTAGTTTCTTTTGCAATACAAACAAAGAACCAGGTGAAGAGGTATATAGGGCAAGGTCCAGAAGGGTCCCAAGCACAGGAGCTTCTGTCCTCATGGAATGTGCTAAACTTCCTGCACATCAATGAGTTCTTGTTCATCTTCTTGTAAGCCTATGTATTACCTGGAAACCCTCCAAAACCTGTCCTTTTGGGTTTTATGAAGGCTTTATTATATAGGCATGACTAATTGAACCATTGGTCATTAGTGATTAACTGAATTTTCAGCCCCTCTTCCCCTTCCTGGAAGTTGAGGGTTGAGACAAAAAAATCCAACCCTCTGGGCACAATGAATCATTCCCCTGGGAATCAGCCCTCCAACCAGTTGTTTCTAGGGCTTTCTAAAAATTGTCTTATTAACATAAGCTTAGGAGTATTTTATTTTATGTATTTATTTTTTCTTTTTAAAAAACTTTTTATTAAAAAAAGTTTAAACCTTTAGAAAAGTTACAAAAATTGTAAAATGAACTCTCATATGCCTTTACCTAGATTCATCAACTTTTTCTTTTTCTTTCACAATTTTTTTTATTATTATACTTTAAGTTCTGGGGTACATGTGCACAACATGCAGGTTTGTTACATATGTATACATGTGCCATGTTGGTGTGCTGCACCCGTTAACTTGTTTATTTACATTGGGTATATCTCTAGCTTAGGAGTATTTTAAAGCACTTGTTGTAAATAACAAAAGACTGTCTTTCAACTTTATCTTTTAGGAGTGACTTCAGGAACCAAGGATAATCAAATACTTTAACAAAAGATATTCTTACTGCTTTAGTACTTGGGGCATGAGAAGTCTTATAGGAATCTTCCTAGTTGAAAACTAGGAGTCACGGATGGACAAAAACAAATTATATCTATCGTAACATCATAGATACTTATAAACATAAAAAGAAAATAATATTTCTGAGAGCCCAATATGAGGCAACCCCATTGAATGACTTATATATGTTAGCAGGTTTGATACTAACAACGCTTTTATTTTTGTAATTGCCCACTGCACAGCTACAGCCGATTCGTAGACAGCAGTATTACAGTAAAGATTTTAATAAATACAGAGCTAGCCAAATGGAAGGACAGGGGTTTATTACTCAAATCAGCCTCCTTGAAAGCTTGGGGGCTAGAGTTTTTCAAGGATAGTTTGGTTTGTAAGGGGCTAGGAGATGGGTAATGCTGATTGGTTGGGGATGATATCATAGGGGTTTGAAAAATAGTTCCTGTGTGCAGAGTCAGCCTCTGGGTGGGGACCACAGGATCAGTTGAGTCATGAGTCATGAGTCCAGGTGGAGTTAGTAGGTCATCGTCATCAGAATGCAAAAGTCTGAAAAACATCTCAAAAGACCCATGTTAGGTTCTACAATAGTGATATTATCTATAGGAGAAATTGGAGAAGTTGCAAATCTTGTGACCTCCAGAACAACGGCTGGTTATTATCTAGGTTTGCCTACATTTTAGCAGAATTCAGGCCTCTCCCATAATCCTAATCTTTCATTAGTTTTACAAAGGCAGTTTTGTCTCTGAGCAAGGAGATTTGTTTTACAGAGGCACTATTATCATTTTTGCTTCAACGTTAAACTATAACCTAATTCCTCCCATGGTTAGCTTGGCCTACACCCAGAAATGACCAAGGGCAGCCAATGTATGAGTCTAAAAGCAAGAAGAAATCAGCCATGCTAGACTTCTCTCACTGTCATAGTCTTTGCAAAGGGAGTTTCATTCTTAAAAACTATAAAAAAATCCAGAGATGATTTCTTTAATAAGTATTAGAGCTACAATTTAAAATCTAGCACCTCTGAATGGAGTGTCTACATTGTTTTTGCTGTTATCACACTGGTACCAATAAGAAAAATATATAATATAATTGAAATATAAAACATTTTGAAAGACTTGTCTGCTGAGACTTCCTTCCTCGAAGACTGTAAGACCTTGCTATAGATCAGGAGTTTATTACTCAGATCAGCCTCCTTGAAAGCTTGGGGGCTGGAATTTTTCAAGGATAGTTTGGTTTGTTTTTTACAATATGTTTTTTTTTTTACAATATGGTTCCAGAAGCATGAAGACTTAACTGCCTCTCTAACGGCTCTTAGGGTGTTTACAGCTCACTGAATTAAATCTGATTGTCTGGTTAATGTTGGAGCTCAGAAGCTAATAACTCAAATTATGGCACTTTAACTTGCTGAACTGAAGAAACCTCAAGGTCTTTCTGACCTTCCCCGGGCTTCCATCATCTCTCCCAAAGAAGTTGAAGTGCCTTTATCTGCCTAAATTCCAGATCCACCAAGAAGAACAATTGGTTTTTTCTTTGCTTTTCTGTAAAACCAAAAATGTAACAACGCCTGAATAGACCCTTTCACTGTCAAAGAGAGTTATTTAAAAGTTAATCTGTTCCCAGGGATCCTTTTATTCTTCCTAGTAATATCCTCAATACAATTCCTCTTCTCTCCCCTCCCATAACCTTTCTGGCCAGCATAATGTAGTGGCATCATTGTCTGGGGTAACACCCAAGGTTTGTTGTCCCACGTCATTTAAAGCTAGGAGGCAGACACATCAGAGTGAGGTTAAGCATAGAAATTTAATTTTTTTTCTTTTTCTTTCTTTCTTTTCTTTTTTTTTTTTTTTTTGAGATGGAGTCTCACTCTGTCACCTGGGCTGCAGCGCAATGGCATGATCTTGGCTCACTGCAACCTCTGCCTCGCAGGTTCAAGCAATTCTCCTGCCTCAGCCTCCCAAGTAGGTGGGATTATAGGTGTCCACCACCAAGTCTGGCTAATTTTTTGTATTTTTAGTAGAGACAGGGTTTCACCATGTTGGCCAGGCTGGTCTTGAACTCCTGACCTCTGGTGATCCACCCACCTCGGCCTCCCAAAGTGCTAGGATTACAGGCATGAGCCACCGTGCCCAGCCAAAATGTGGAAATTTAATAGGCGAAAGAAAGAGAAGAGCTCTCCATCATCACTGGCCATCAGAGAAATGCAAATCAAAACCACAATGAGATACCATCTCAAGCCAATTAGAATGGCGATCATTAAAAAGTCAGGAAACAACAGGTGCTGGAGAGGATGTGGAGAAATAGGAACACTTTTACACTGTTGGTGGGACTGTAAACTAGTTCAACCATTGTGGAAGATAGTGTGGTGATTCCTCAAGGATCTAGAACTAGAAATACCATTTGACCCAGCAATCCCATTACTGGGTATATACCCAAAGGATTATAAATCATGCTGCTATAAAGACACATGCACACATATGTTTATTGCAGTACTATTCACAATAGCAAAGACCTGGAACCAAGCCAAATGTCCAACAATGATAGACTGGATTAAGAAAATGTGGCACATATATGCCATGGAATACAATGCAGCCATAAAAAAGGATGAATTCATGTCCTTTGTAGGGACATGGATGAAGCTGGAAACCATCATTCTGAGCAAACAATCGCAAGGACAAAAAACCAAACACCGCATGTTCTCACTCATAGGTGGGAATTGAACAATGAGAACACTTGGACACAGGAAGGGGAGCATCACACACCAGGGCCTGTCATGAGGTGGGGGGAAAGGAGGGGGATAGCATTAGAAAATATACCTAATGTAAATGACCAGTTAGTGGGTGCAGCACACCAACTTGGCGCATGTATACATATGTAACAAACCTGCACGTTGTGCACATGTACCCTAGAACTTAAAGTATAGTAAAAAAAAAAAACAAAAACATATTATTAATTAAAAAAAAAAAAAAGAAAGAGAAGAGCTCTCTGAGCAGAGAGGGGTCCCAGAGAAAATGGGTTGCCACTTCAGCAGTGAAATGCAGAAGGTTTTATAGATAAGCTTGAGGAGGTGTCTGATTTACACAGGGGATGAAAGATTGACTGGACCAGGTGTGCCATTTGCATAGCATGTGAAGAAGCTGGTTGCCCCACCCTAATCTTTTAGGTTGCAGATAAGTTCTCTACTTGGCCAGCGTCATGTTGCCTGGTCCTTACTGTACACACGGTGACAAAGAAAAGGGAAGATGGAGCCTCCATGTTGAACATACCTGGCTTCCAGGTAGCCCTTTTCTATTGGCACAGCTGCTGGTATTCACCCGTGCAGGCTTCCAGCTTGCTTATCTATGTCTGCAGCTTGATTTTTCAGGCTGCTCTTTGTTAGAAAAGAAATGATTTGGGGCTGCTTTTTGTTAAAAAGGAAGCCTTGCCATGGACTTCTTTACATCTGCCTAAATAATTTCTTTCTAGCTCCTGTATCAATAGTATATAAGTTTCTGAACCATGTTGAGCAGTGAGTAATCCCCCTGTGGTTATAAATTTGTATGTTTTGTTTTTTTTTTTCCAATTAACCAGCCTTTTGTGAGTTGATTTTTCAGTGAATGTTTGGCAAATGGCTCCTACATTATCTCTGAAAATAGTACAAATAAGGAGGACTCAGTGGACCTAAATTTAAGATCTCTGTCAATGTGTGTGGCCTCTTCCATATATCAGTTAGTCCATGCACTCATTGCATGCCTAGCCTTGGGCTAGATGCTCTAGGCCTAGATAAAGCAAAGAGGAATGCATTACTGCTGCCCTCTGGTGTCAATCAGTCTCAATAGGATGTAGGGATAGATACAAAAAGCAGAGGATGAGGTATGTTAGAGACTGACTCTCACTGTAAGGACTGTATTGGAGAAAAGAAAGGAAATATCCTTGTGTGCTCATTTAGAACTTCCTGGAGAAGTTAGACCTGAGTGCATGTTCATAATTTTACTTGACCCTATTTGACTAAGAATTTGCATTCTCGTTCCATTTTTAACCTCTAGAGTTTATATTAGATAGCACATTTCTTAGGAAAGAAGAGAAGAGATAGTTTTGGGGGATGGGAGAAGAATGGATTGCTGACAACAGAAATTTTAACATAAAGTTTTGGGAAAGATATATGGGGCAAGAGGTTGCCCAGTGATCCTCAATTTCCAACAGGCATGAAACTGTTTAACATTGACGCTGCTATTCTATCTTTAACTGCTGGAGAGATTGAGACAGTCTTTGTTTTTACTATTGTAATATCATTAAAAATATAAAATTATAATATGGAAATTCAAAAGTCTAACATGCAATATACCAGCATTGTCATGTTACCACTTCCCTCAAACATGTTCACGCTGTTTGACTCTAGTAGTCCTGGGATATAGGTTGACCAAAAATAAATGTAAGCCATGGAGAATTTATATCATGTTCCAAGTGTCTCAGCAGCTAATCAAGAAGAGAAACCATTTTTGGGTCTCAACCCAAGAAGTGCTGTTTTCTCTTTCTAAACAATTCTTTACCCATATACTCTTTTTTTTTTTTTTTTGAGACGGAGTCTTGCTCAGTTGCCCAGGCTGGAGTGCCCTGGCACGATCTTGGCTCACTGCAACCTCCGCCTCCCGGGTTCATGCCATTCTCCTGCCTCAGCCTCCCGAGTAGCTGGGACTACAGGTGCCTGCCACCATGCCAGGCTAATTTTTTTTTTTGTATTTTTAGTAGAGACGGAGTTTCACCGTGCTAGCCAGGATGGTCTTGATCTCCTGACATCGTGATCCACCCGCCTCAGCCTCCCAAAGTGCTGGGATTACAAGCATGAGCCACCACATCCAGCCATCCATATACTCTTATGGAGGAGATACATACTTTCCAAATCTTCACTCTCTCATAAAACATACTTGTTCACAGGTCATGAACGGTACAATGCTGATTCTCATGATACTGGAGTTCTGAGTTGCTGGACTTACTTCAACCTGTTGTAGTATCAGGGATACCTGGTGTTCTTTGTGGGCCTCGGGAGACAAAACAACTTTACTTTGAATTGCAGTGCTTTAGAAAACAAGGTACTACTGCAGATATAACTTTTGAGGAGGAAGAGGGCTGATGACTGATTGGTAATGAAGATGTTAAAATAAGTATTAATTCAAAATCCAAGCTGTTGAAACTCTAAATTGTTTTGAGCCTTAAAGGAATGTGATTATGGAGTCTGAGTCATGTGACAGACAGCTGTAACCTAGGCAGCTATAAACTTTGTTACTCTGATTATAGATTAGCCTCGTTCCTTACCTTCACTGCTTCGTAAAATGTTGAAAATGACTAAAGGGCACCAGGAAAACCTCTTTCCCCCTTCACTGTTGATCTTCATTATAGTTTAGTTTTTTTCTTACATTTCTTACACAAAGATATGGCTATCACACTGTTTTAAGATGGAATATTAAATATGCTGTTTTAAATTGGAAAGGATATAAAAACCAGCTGTAAATTAAAGAAAACAAGCCCTATGAAAAAGAAAGCAAACCGTAATAATTAAATTTTTGTAACTCATAAACCAGCCTTGTATAGAAAAATTATACTAAACTTGTTTGTTTTCTGCCTATATAAGCGAGATGTTAACTTTTCACTTCAGAACACTGACCCCATTTATCTGAAGTCTGTTGTCTTCTGAATGACCATCCTCAACTTTTTGCTTGAACAAATTTTAAAAACTGGATTGCGATCCTTTTGCTTATTTCAGGTTAACAAAGACTAGTTTTCTCTCACACATAATCACTCAGTATTTTCACTTCTACTCCTGCACTCAAGTCTTGTCAGAAAAGGATATTAAAAAATAAGTAAAAGTCTGTATCTAATAACACCTCTCAGATTTATAACAGTATCTTCAGGCAACAATTGAAAGTTTGAGGTTTTCTAAATCATTTATCAATATTAGTTCACTCCTGTATATACATGATCCTTCCATCCAGGCATCAGAGTTGTCTGTTAGTTCAACAGAGATAAGAAAAAGACAAATAGGCCATGGTTAGGCCCAGAAGAATAAGCAAGATACAGTGGGAGCAAAAAGAAAGATTTAGAAGAGGGCTTCTCAAGAAAACACATAATTAAGACTTCTTCAGGTAAACATTTCAAATAGTGCTTGATATGGTTTGGCTGTGTCCCCACCCAAATCTCACCTTGAATTATAGTAATCCCCATGTGTTAAGGGCGGGGACAGGTGGAGATAACTGAATCATGGGGGCAGTTTTCCCCCATACTGTTCTCATGGTAGTGAATAAGTCTCATGAGATCTGATGGTTCTATAAATGGGAATTCCCCTACACAAGCTCTCTCTTGCTTGCCATCATATAAGATGTCCCTTTGTTCTTCCTTCATCTTCTGCCCAGATTGTGAGGCCTCCCCAGACATGTGGAACTGTGAGTGCTTTAAACCTCTTTCCCTTATAGATTACCCAGTCTTGAGTATGTCTTTATTAGTAGCTGAGAAAAGACTAATACAGTAAATTGGCACCGGGTAGTGGGGTGCTGCTGTAAAGATAACCCAGAATGTGGAATTGACTTTGGAACTGAGTAACAGGCAGAGGCTGGAACAGTTTGGAGGGCTCAGAAGAAGATAGAAAAATGTGGGAAAGTTTGGAACTTTCTAGAGACTTGTTGAATGATTTTGACCAAAATGCTGATAGTGATATGGACAATGAAGTCCAGGTTGAGGTGGTCTCAGATGGAGATGAGGAACTTGTTGGGAACTGGAGAAAAGGTGACTTGTTATGCTTTAGCAAAAAGACTGGCAGAATTTTGCCTCTTCCCTAGAGATTTGTGGCACTTTGAACTTAAGAGAGATGATTTAGGCATATGGCAGAATAAATTTCTAAGCAGCAAAGCATTCAAGAGGTGTCTTGGGTACCAATGAAAGCATTCAGTTTTATTCATTCACAAAGATATGGTTTGGAGTTGGAACTTATGTTGAAAAGGGAAGCAGAGCATAAAGGTTTGGAAAATTTGCAGCCTGACAATGCAGTAGAAAATAATAAAAAAACAACAACAATTTTCTGGGGAGAAATTCAAGCTGGCTGCAGAAATTTGCATAAGTAAGGAGGAGCCAAATGTTAATTGCCAAGACAATGGGGAAAATGACTCCAGGGCATGTCAGAGGTCTTCACAGCAGCCCCTCCCATTACAGGCCCAGGAGCCTAGGAGGAAAAAATGGTACTCTGTGCCAGGCCCAGGGCCTTGCTGTTTTGTGCATTCTCCAGACTTGGTCCCTTGCATCCCAGCCATAGCTAAAATGGGCCAATGTGCAGCTCAGGTCGTTGCTTCAGAGAGTACAAGCACCAAGCCTTGGTGGCTTACACATGGTGTTGGGTCTGCAAGTGCACAGAAGTCAAGAATTGAGATTGTATAGAAATGCCTGGATGTCCAGGCAGAGGGGTGTTGCAGGGCTGGAGCCATCATGGAGAACCTCTGCTAGGGCAATGTGGAAGGGAAATGTGGGGTATGAGCCCCCACACAGAGTCCCCACTGGAGCACTGCCTAATGGAGCTGTGAGAAGACGGCCACCATCCTCCAGACTCCAGAATGGTAGATGCACTGACAGCTTGCACTGTATGCCTGGAAAAGCTGCAGACACTCAACGCCAGCCCATGAAAGCAGCCAGGAGGGTGGCCATACACTGCAAAGCCACAGAGGCAGAGCTTCTCAAGGCCATGGGAGCCCACTTCTTGCATCAGCATGACCTAGATGTGAGACATAGAGTCAAAGGAGATCATTTTGGAACTTTAAGGTTTAATGTCTATGCTGTTGGATTTCAGACTTGCATGAGGCCTGCAGCCCTTTTGTTTTGGACAGTTTCTCCCATGTAGAATGGGTGTATTTATCCAATGCCTGTACCTCCGTTGTATCTAAGAAGTAACTAACTTGCTTTTGATTTTACAGGCTCAGAGCAGAAGGAACTTGCCGCATCTCAGATGAGACTTGGACTTGGACTTTTGGCTTAATGATGGAATGAGTTAAGAATTTAGGGGACTGTGAGGAAGGCATGACTGGTTTTGAAATGTGAGGACATGAGATTTGGGAGGGGTCAGGGATGGAATGATATGGTTTGGCTCTGTCCCCACCCAAGTCTCACTTTGAATTGTAATAATCCCCACATATTATTATTATTAATATTATTTAATAGATATGGTTTCTGCTTGAGGTGGAAAAAAAGGTTTTGAATATAGTGATGGTTATGCAAAATTGTGAATGTAATTAATGCCACTAAATTGCACACTTAACAATAATAAAATGATAAAAAGGGCATAAGGCCAGCATTAGACTAATACTTATGAATTTATTCTTTAAAACCTGAAATGTGAAAATTAAATATAGAATGTTTTCATATTTTAAAAAAGTATCTGATTCAGTGAGAGCAGTTCTCTGAAAGAAAACTTATAGCCATAAATACCTATATTAAAAAAAGAAAAAAATTTCTCAAATGACCTAACTTGACATCCTGGAAACTAGAAAAAGAACAAATTAATCACAAAACTAATAAAAGGAAGGAAATAATAAAAATTAGACTATAGATGTATGTAATAGAAAATAAAATATTAGAGAAAATCAACAAAACCAAAACTTGGTTCTTCAATAGATCAACAATATTGACATTTCAACTAGACTGATAGAGATAGACAATGCAAAAAAATAATAAAATCAGAAAAGAAAATGAGACATATCTACCTATCTTACAGAAATAAAAAGGATTATAAGAGGAGGCATTATCAAGATGGTTGACTAGAGGTGTCCAATATGTGTTTCTTCTGCAAGGAAGGAACAAAACAACATATAAATAATTGTTTTATAGGTAGAGTGACTAAGGGCCAACACTGGAATTCAGCAAGGAAGGGATAAAAAAGCCTCTGAAGAATACACACTTGGGATGGCAGCATAGAGTGGGAAGTAAAGCATCTTGCCAGGATTGGTCTGAAGCCAGTAGGAATACTCCATTGTGAAAAAAAGTAAGCTGGAGATCCCCAGTAGTTCCTATTACCACAGCAGATGCTTGCAATCATAGCTTCAGGAGAGCCCTGCAGCCCTCACAGGCCCTGAACCTAATATAGGAAGTTTCCTGAATATCATGCAGCTGTATTGCTACAGACAGAAAACTCACATTGTGTCCTTCAACTCCCTGAGACCCAAGCTGCTGTGGCACAGTACGATTTTGAGAATATAGTTATTGCTGGAGTGTGTCCTGTCTTGGGGCCAAATATCCCTTGCACCTCCATATTCCTGGGGCCTTTCCATTACCCCACTACATATACACAAAGAGTTGCTATGCCATGATCCTAGCTGGAACTAGTAGTATAGCTATGACTCTGGCACTTGAACCCACATAATGCCTTATATCCTATGGAACAGGCAGTCCAGCACAGTGGCGTGCTTTCCCCATGACTGGGGAAGCCAACGATATGCTCTCCAGGGCCCGTGAACAGGCCCTCCAGTTCTCACCATCATCATTGACCCTCTGATTAGTGGAGCTGCTGAGCACTATGCATGCCCCATTCTAAAGACTTAAGACTGGCTGGCAGGCATATACCTCCCTGTATCCTTGACCAGTGGAGATGCTGAGTGCTATGCACATTTTCCCTGGAGGCTGAGAGCCAGCCCACCAAGCAACTACTTCTGTCAGTGACCCCATCCTTGCATCTGGTGGAGCCCCTACACTTGGCATGCAACCCCCCAGGAACTAGTACTGGCCAACCCAGTGGCCTCTTCCTCAACCAAAACCACACCCCATTTCCAGAAATACCCACAGTCTAGGCAACTGAGGCACTCACAGACACTGCTGACATTGATTACAGCTAAAGAAATCACATGGAGACTACAGTACTGCACTCACTAGAACACAAGCCACACCACTGTACTTGACTGTTAATATAGGTCACAGCTACAGAAAAAGAACTTTTCCTATAAAAGCTACTCTAGTATATTGAAAGAGGCAACCATTCCACCAGATGTGCAGATATCAATACAGAGAAACTAGAAACAAGGAAAAGCGAAGAAACATACTGCCAAAAGAACATAATAATTCCTTTGTAACAAACCCTAAAGAAAAGGAAATCTATGAAAGGCCTGAAAAGAAATTCAAAATAATAATCTTAAGGGTACTTAGGGAGATACAAGATAAACAGAATGACAATTCAACAAACTCAGAAAACAATTCATGAACTGCATGCAAAATTCAATAGTTATACATCATTAAAAATAACCAAATAGTATCTTGAAGCTGAAGAATTCAATGACTATAATAAAAAATACAGTCAAAAGCTGTGATAGACTAGATCAAGGAGAAGACAGGCTTTCTAAACTTGAAAACAGATCTTCTGAAATAATCTAGTCAGACAACAAAAAAGAAAAAAAATGAAGAAAGCTTATGGTCCCTATGGGACACCATGAAACAAACAAATATTTACCTTATGACTGCTTCAAAAGAAGAGATGGTAAAAGGCATAAAAATCTATTTCACAAAATAATGGCTGAATTAGTAATTGATGCTGGTAAAACTGAATATCGTATGCAGAAGCATAAAACTAGACCTGTTTCTTTAACCATGTACAAAAAACAAACTGAATATAGATTAATGACTTTAATATAAGATCCCAAACCATAAAAATACTTGAAGAAAACATAGGGGAAATGCTTAAGGACATTGACCTGGGCAAAGATATATGGATAAGTCCTCAAGAACACAGGCAACAGAAGCAAAAATAGACAAGATTACGTCAAAATAATAAGCCTCTGCACAATCAACAGGGTAAAAAAATGAAATATAATAAATAAAAGTAAGAAAATGAAAAAAATACTTGAAATGTGTTCATCTGACGTGAAATTAATATTCAGAATATAAAAGGAACTCAATAGCAAAACCACAAATAATCCAATTAAAGATGGACAATTGATCTAAATAGACATTTCTCAAAAGAAGACATACAAATGGCCAAGTGTATAAAAAAATACTCAACCTCACTCATCAACAGGGGACTGAAAATCAAAACCACAATGAGATATCATCTCACCCCAGTTAGTATGAATGTTATGAAAAAAATGAAAAATAACAAATGCTGGTGAATAGGCAGAGAAAATGAAATACTTGTAGACGATTAGTGGGAATGTAAATTAGTACAACCATTATGGAAAACAGTATGGAAGTTTCTCAAAAAGCTAAAAATAAAAGTAACATATGATTTAGTAATCCTGCTACTGGGTATATATGTAAAAGAAGAGAAATCAGTAGTCAAAGGGGTATCTTTTACTCTCTCATGTTTATTGCAGTATTATTCACAATAGGCAACTATGGAATCAACCTAACTGTCCATCAACAGATGATGCATACAGAAAATGTGATATATATATCACATTTATATATAGGATTTCAGCCATAAAAACAGAATAAAATCATGTCATTTGCAGCAACATGGATGAAACTGGAGGACAGTTTGTTAAGTGAAATAAGCCAGGCACAGAAAGATAAATAATACATGTTTTCACTCATATGTGGAAGCTAAAAAAAGTGGATCTCATAGAAGTATAGAATATAATAGAGTTTACCACAGGCTGAAAAGGGCAGGGGAGAGGGAGTATAGAGAGAGGTTGTTTAGTGGAGACAACGTTATAGCTGGATGGGAAGAGTAAGTTCTAATGCTCTGTAGCAATGTAGGATAACTGTGGCTAACAATAATTTATTGTATATTTTTAAATACATAAAAGAAGAGATTTTTGAATATTCCCAACACAAAGGAATGATAAAGGTGTGAGGTGATGGATATGCTAATTACCCTACAAATTCCTAGAAAAAACATAAACTGTCAATATTGATGCAAGTGAAAAGAGAACATATGAACAGATCTATAATACGCCTATTGGCTGAATCAATAACCAAAAACCTCCCTACAAAGAAAAGTCCAGGACCAGATGGCTTCACTGATGACTTCTACCAAACATTCAGAAAATATTAAATACCAATCCTTCTCAAACTCTTCCAAAAGTTGAAGAGGAGAGAACACTTCCTAACTAAATCTATAAGGCCATCATTACTCTGATGCCAAAGCCAGGTTAATGACTCCACAAGCACATGAAATTGGAGACCATATCCCTTATGAATATAGATGCAAAAATTCTCAACAAAATATTAATCTAAATTCAGAAGCCTATTAATATTTAAATCTTATTACCAAGAGGAATTTATCTCAGGAATGCAAGGGTGACAAAACATAAGAGAATAACTCAATGAAATATGCCACATTAATAGAATGAAAGAACAAAATTATCATTTTATTTGATGCAGAAAAAGCATTAAAAAATCTAATACTTTTTGTTATAGAAAGCCAACAAATTAAGAATGGTTGGAAATTTCCTCAATGTGATGGAGAGCATTTATGAAAAACCCACAGCTAACATTATAGTCAATAATGAAAGACTAAATGCATTCTTTCTTAAATTAGAAATACAGGAAGGATACCCAATTTCACCACTTTTATTCTACATTTTACTGGGATCTCCAGCCAGAGCAAATAAGCATGGAAAATAAATAAAAGGAATCCAGAATGGAGAGAAAGAAGTCTTCCTCCAGATGACATGATTTTATATAGAGAAGCTTCTAAAGAATACAAAAAACTCTGGAAGGTACTTCAACAAGTTTGTGGAAAATGGAATTAAAAGTTGAAAATAAAATGTAAACTTAATTTTAACATAAGGTCCATCAAGCTCAAGACACTTTGTAAGTTATGATACAGACTATTTAGCCCATCCTTAAGAAACTGAAGGTCCTGGAAATTTAACTATGTCACTGCAATCTGTTTTACACTATTAACTGAAAGAAAAATGAGTGTTTACAGATTTTTTAAGATTAGGAAACAAAAAAAAAAAAGTCAGAAGGTGCTAAATCAGGAAAAAAATGTTTCAGGATGTTGATCCCACTTGTTTCAAATTTCCATTGAAATCTTTGCTCTTGTCCATAGTTGACAAGAGCATCCATTAAGTAGAAACTTTGCTCAGTTTTAATTTTCCAGGCAGAATTATTTAAGCTGAACCAATTAAGGTGTCTATGGTGTTGACTATTATTTGTGCTGTTAGTCATTGGCCCTCTTCAAATAGGGCACAAACAAGGTGAAGTTTTTCCTTTCAAATTGATATGGATGGTCTGCTGCTGCCGGGCTTCATCTTCAACGTCATCTTGTCCTTTCTTAAAATGAGTTATTCATTTGTAAATCTCTGATTTCTTTGGACATTATCCACATAACGTTCTTGTAAATCATCAACAATTTCACCATTCTTCCACCCAAGCAAGGGGCTCTTGCTTTAATTTTAGCAGGGTTTACATTGCTCTGATAGAGGCTGCATTCAAACTGATGTCTTATCTTTCTTAGTGCCTCAAACTACATGCTGTTCAGACCTGTTATAACAAGTTAGAATGAATTCATTTCAGTGCCCTCAAAATAGAATTCCATGCATATTTTTTCATAATATGCATTTTCTATGAAGTTTTTGAAGGCCCGTCATATTACAAATTCAAGAAAGTTGTAGCACACAAAATTAAGAGGCAATAATCACACTAGCAATGAACAATACAGATCTAAACACTGGCAACGAACAATACAGAAATAAAATTATGGAAGCAATTCCATTTATAATAGCATAAAACAGAATAAAATACTTAGAAATAAATTTAACCAAGGAGATTGCTGATTAGAGGAAATTTTGGAGAGTTGAAGATTACAGCAGCCATCATCCATTGTATAAATTTGGCTTTCATCTGTACTGAGGCGTCCACTCACCTTTAGCTAAATCATTCGATATGTTTCAATATAATTTAATTTTAATTGGTGAGATATAGTGATTAAGCTGCCTGTGCTCTTCCTGCTGGAACTCATTTTTGTTACTGTTTCCCATTTAGATTCAGTGTCTGCTGTAGTGGTAGCGAAGTCAGTGCCTAAACTGCAGATGATTAGAATGTGTTCTATGATATTTTCTTTCTTTTTTGTGTCTTTTATGGCTTATTTTAAAACACAAAATATATAAGACACACAAGTTTCTGTCCTTTATTATGCATCTGTGTGAAAACATATTAGTGTTAAGTTTTGCATTTGGAAGCCTTGTCCATTATTAGATGAGGTGGGGAATGGGGCAGAAGTGTCTGGATCAGCAAAAGGGTAGAACCAAGGAAACATTACTGCATTAAGAGTTAGGGCCCAAAAGAAGTGAAATTTCTTGTGTCCATATGTTTCATGCCCCAATTTCTTGACAAATGACAGCACTTCCTACCAGTGAGCATGGACTCTACACTGTTACTTCAAGCCATGAATATGGGGAAATGGCTTCCTAATCGATTAAACTGTTTGTATTTCTCCTGAATGAGCTAATCATGCCTTTATTCTTTTTGTGTCCTTGACAGCATATCAGTATTTATATTTTTTAAAAGGTCTTGGATATGCTCACTAACAATAACAGCCATTTTCTTGGTTAATATTAATTGTATCAAGACATTCCTACTTCATCCCTTAATCAATATCAATGGTCATTAAAGATTTACCTCTAAGTATGCGGAATAGATATAAGATGCACCTGCATCAAAGATGATATAATCTCATGAAAGAGACATCGGGGTTTCTATGAGAGTTACTGTACTTAAATATTTACAGTTATAATGGCATTATAATGAATTCATAGGCATGTTCGTTATTTTTCTGTAGTTGACATTATCATTCTTAATTGATGAAGGCTAAGACAGTAACTTGTAAGTCAAAATAAAATTTCAAAATCAAATGAGTTAAAATATATAGTTACAAACATCAGAGAACACAAATAAGAGCAGGACAGAAAATACTGATCATAGAGTAGAGTTAATTGGTAGATTTTCCTAATCAAAGAAGGTAGATTGCTGTGAGTTGATGGAATTAAGAAAGAAAAGAGAGAAAACAAGAGTCAAGTATTTTATGATAGCATATGTAAAACTGATAGTTTAAACAGACAGACAAATAGAAAATATTTTGAGACAAGGAAAGGTAGTTGTGGGTACATCACACTAGAACATTATAAAAATATTGAATAAATAAGGATTTTAAGACAACATTAACCAGCTGGCCAAGCTTAAAAAACAGGAACATTTTCAGCCTCTTGCAAACTTTAAGTTTAGTAACAGTCAAAAATCTTCATAGATTATTTTCAAATAAGATTTTTTGTTTTTAAACAGAGTCTTGCTGTGTTGCCCAGGCTGGAGTGCAGTGGCGATCTCAGCTCACTGCAACCTCCGCCTCCTGGGTTCAAGTGATTCTCCTGCCTTAGACTCCCGAGTAGCAGGGATTACAGGCACAAGCCACTGCTCCTGGCTAATTTTTGTATTTTTAGTAGAGACAGGGTGTCACCATGTTGGCCAGGATGGTCTTGAACTCCTGACCTCAAGTGATCCACCCGCCTCGGCCTCCCAGAGTGCTGGGATTATTGGAGTGAGCCACCAGCCCCGGCCTCAAATAAGATTTAATTCTGTTTTGATTAGATGTATGAAGAACCCCCAAATTACTGCCAAACCCATAACTGATTAAAAATGACCATTTTTAGTTAGCTGCCCTGGCAGCATGCTTAGATTGGGAGGGACTTGTTAGATTATCAAGCACTACTCAGAGAAGGAAGAGTAGTTGCTATAAACATGGATAGTAGGTTGATGGGAAAAGAAAGAGCAACAAGGATAAGAATGAGAGATGAAATATTCCACTAGTTACTGAAAGTTGATTCTCATGTGAAGAGGGGAATAGATTATTGTCTCATGATAGAGTGGCACACTGTTTACATCACTAATACATTTCTACTAAGTAGGATGAATGAAAGCAGCAAGCCTAAGGTTGGATAAAAGTGATCAGGCTAATTGCCCTCCCACACAGCAAAACAACTTCCTTTCTTGGTAAAACAAACAAAAGACACCAACTAAGTGGGATTGCTAGGATTCACTGAGATTTTACTGCCATACTCTCTTAGGCGGTTCTTTAAAGGTTCATGGATTAATAGATGTATGACCTTGGTTTTGGGTTTAGATGTAGCTGGCGCTAATAGGATTCTTCCCCTGAAGATGGTTATGATTATAGGAAAGCTGGAACATTAGGGAAGGTGGAAAGAGGGGCTTAGCATGGCAATGGAGACTGAATTAGGATCTCAGAGCTGAAGATATTAAATTGTGGCATAGTCATCAGTTATAGAAAGTCATATAAAAACAAAATGGCATTCAGTGAAGTGCAGCAAGTGCAGCATATATAATGTTAATATTAATACAAAATTTATATTAAGATTATTCTTGTTTAACTATGTCCATAGCACTTAATATAATTATTTTTTCATTTTTAGTTTTTCTTGATTTTTATAATAGTTTGAAACGAGAGGCACAATATGTTCTATCCCCTAGATGAAAAATCTAATATGCAAATGTCTCAAATCATATGGTATAAAGTAGTAGAGCCAAGAGGAAATTTAAGCTATTTTCAAAATTAGTTTAAGGAACTTTACATCAAAGATATTGTTAATCAAAAGAATACTTTCAGAAACTTAGAGAGGGAATACAATGTCACATAAGTACATATGAACATTCTAAGAAATATCAGTAAATTGGCCTAGTAAAAATTAGAAGAAAATTATTTCCATGGAATTTTCCTGTTGGAATCGGCTCCTGGAAAGGATGCCTGTGACAGAGATAATATTGCTCCTCATATACTTCACCTTTTCTGCTATGTATCCCAGTCTCCATGTGGTTAAGTCGGGCCAGGTGGTTAATTCTGGTGACTCAGTTGTGATCAGAAGTGATATATGTGGCCTCCAGGTCAAAGCACTTAGCTGAAAATGTGCCAGTATCCCACTCTCTCTTCCACTGCATTAAACCTGGATTATGCTATTCAAAATAGTGGTGTCAGAGATGGTGGAATCCAGTTGGTTTGAGTCTCAGTGTGATTATATGAAATAGAGCCACTTGATGACTTAACTGGGTTATATGGAATTTGTGACTAATATAACTATGTTCTGAGAAGCATTGATGTTTCAGGACTTAGATTTTACTATGGCTTAATCTAGACTATGCTGATTAGGATAAAAGCAGCCACCAGAAAAGGATCTGAACAAGCTTTTGATTTCGTATTTTTTATTTTATTTTTTTCCAGTTGCCATCGCTATGTAACTACGTGACAGAGGTGTATTCTTATGTCTGTGCATCTGTCTTAGAGATTGTAGTTTAAGAGGATGAGTCTCTCTGCTTGAGGTTTTGGTAAAATGAAGTTTGATTCAAGTCTTGATAAGAACCTTCTGAAGCTGGTTTCAGGGAAAAGTAATGCAGAAATCTGTAAATAAACCAAACTATCATTAGAATAATTTTACCTACATCCTCAGAGTTTTATTATAATCCTGTCCTTTAAGACATACCCTGACTTACAAAGCCTACCTCCAAAATATGCTGAGCTGGTGTTACTTAATACATATTATCCAGATAGTGTATGGTAGAGTCAACTTCAGTCACGACTGATGCTACTAGACTACTCAGTGATTCAGAGATGTGTGTCAGGCAAACATGTTTCCATCTACATCCGAGTACTCACAGGATTTGTAGAAAAGGAAGACAAAAGAATGTTTATCCATCAGGAGATATTCTAGATGACACAAGTAGGGATATTTAGGAGGTCATTCAACCTGGTAATTTCTGGAAATCATGGAAATATGGGATATTTATGAGGGCCAGGAAAATTAATTTATGTCTATTAGGAGTGTAATATATTTGTGTGTGTATGCAAGTGTATATGTGTGTGTAATTTTATATCTATCTCTAGGCATATGTATAAAGGACATACCATAGACAAATATATGAAAGATTTTCTCAGGTATAAGAGAACATTTGTGTTTTCAATATACTTAAATTTATTCTTTTAATGCTTAAGGCTATATTTCCTCTCTTAGTCTTTAAAAAAATAACTTGTATATATCTGGACAAATGGCTGGCAATCTGTGGCTATGTTTTTAATTTTTGTTTTCATCTCATTATGGTCAGATTTGAAGACCTGACTGATTGAATGTAAGAAGAATTACCTTCATAGGACAATTTCTGAATTAAACACTTAAAATAAGTGGATGCTTCTTTCTTCTCTTCCTGTTTCCTGCTGACATGAATGGAGGCACAGTGGCTGAAACTGGAACCACCTCACTGAATCCAGACATGAATTCTACAGATTGATGAGAATAAGGCTGTTCTACCATTCCTGATTTTTGAAGATATCTTATTTTGACAGACTCAAAGATCTAGATTGCAAAAACCTGGAACCATTTGTCATGTAATGCAATCTCCAGTTCCCCTGCACCATCAGGAAGTGGATGGAAAAATGGGGCAAACTTCCCAATACCCAGAGGGTAATAAGTAAAAGGCCAGAATGAGCAGAGATGAAAACCATATTATAAGCAGATCTTGCTGTATTTCTTGGGGAGCAAATCTCAATTCCTGCCTAAGAGAATCAAATAAAGTCTATGAATAGGTAACTCCAGGATTACTAATTATTTCTTTGTCCAACTAGATGTTTTTATTCTTTTTAATCCTCCTAATTGATCATGGTATTTTGACTGTGAGTGTGGGAAAGTACAGACAACATGATTTCCCAAATAACAAGAAAGTGGTTCCAGAATTGTAGGAAAAATAATGTTAAATCATTAAAAATTTCCTGAGATTGTGCTAAGTATAACAAATGTCTGAGACTCTGGATTTTCTACCTCGATGAGAAAATAAGTGCATTTCCTTTTTGGGGAGAGAGTTGAACATTTGGGTGGCCAGAGAAAAGACTGTGTTAGGGCCAGAGAATGTGGATTGTCTAGCAATTTTTATTCTGATCTTGCTTCCTTGAATAGAGCTCCTGGTTTTAACCTAGACATACAACTGCTCAGTCAATAGCTAGATTTCGTCACCACTCATAACTGTGTGTGGTTATATGACAAAGATCTGTCCATATGATGCAGACATAAAGGAAAAAGCTTTAGTTACAACTTTCATACCTTAAAAGAAGCCACACAAGGAAGAAAGCAAAGCTATACTCCCGGGTACGGACTACCTACTCCTGAGCTGTTGCAGAACAGGAAAATCAAATGACAATTTCTTTAAATCACTTTGTATATAGTCCTAGTTCACAGCATGTTAAATGTACTGTATCACAGTAGTATAATTTATCTCTTTCTTTTTGTCACCCAAGGTGAAGTGCACTGTTCAATCAACACTTACTGTAATCTCAGTCTCCTGGGCTCAAACAGTTCTACCACCTCAGTCTCCCAAGTAGCTAGTACTACAGGCATGTGCCACACATCCGGCCAATGTTTTATTTTCTGTAGAGATGGGGTCTCACTCTGTTGCCCAGCTTTGTCTTGAACTCCTGGACTCAAGTAATCCTCTCACCTCAGCTTCCCAAAGTACTAAGATTACAGGCATGAACCACTACGCCAGGGCCAATTTATTTCTTCATTGGGCAATTGACTTTATATACTTTGAGTGTTTTGTTTTGTTTTGTTTTTTGAGACACAATTTCCTTCTGTCACCCAGGTTGGAGTGCAGTGGTATAATCTCAGCTCACTGCAAACTCCGCCTCCCAGGTTCAAGTGACTCTTGTGCCTCAGCCTCCTGAGCAGCTGCGATTACAGACGTGCACCGCCACGCCCAACTAATTTTTGTATTTATAGTAGAGATGGGGTTTCTCCATGTTGGTCAAGCTGGTCTCAAACTCCTGGCCTCATGTGATCTACCTGCCTCCGCCTCCCAAAGTGCTAGGATTACAGGTGTGAGCTACTGCGCCCAGCCTACTTTGAGTTTTTTTGAAGTGAATGGCCTACTTTCATATCCTTACCATGTGCACAGTGTATCAAACAAATAAGTGTTCAATAGATATTAAATCAACTAATGAATCAATTAACAAATAATATTGAATTACTTGGTGTTACCGTTGAGAGTTTCTGAGTATCCTAGGTGTTTATAAATGTAGGGCAAATATGACCAAAATACTGTTTGAGGAGTGGTCCTCAAAAACTATACACGAACAACAGCTGTGCCTTTCTTCCTCTTAACAAATATTTGAAAAATTATATGCAAGATTACTAAATAAAATAATCAATTGCATCCTCATTCTCTCAACTGTTACTCACCCAACTGATTTTACTGCCATCTGCAGTATAGGTGAGTGTGCAGAGAGCAAAAGTAATTGAAAGTTGCAAGCAGTTTAGCATCATCAGTACAATCACAAGGCCCCGTTAAAGAGAACAGAATTCCGTTGGCTGGGATTCCACCTCATGGTCGTATCAAGACTTGTATCCTAAAGCTTCATCTCAGGCCTTTGGAGTCCCCTCCACTTTGCATTAAACAAAATGATGACACGAGTTTGAATCTCAATTCAAAAATATATGTTCTGCTTTTGAAGAAGAAGTGGATTTCAAAAAAATAAAACAAAACACCAACACAAAACAAAACAAAGCAAACAATAACAACAAAAAGCCAGCGTTACTTTGAATTTTAACGCAACAGTGCCTGTATTAAAAAATAGTCTCGGTAACTTTCCAGTATTCCCAACGATCATTTTGCTGAGGGCTTTCAGAGGTTGGAGGGTGGGAGCAGGGAGAGGATCAGGAAAAATAACTAATGGGTACTAGGCTTAATACCTGGGTGATGAAATAGTCTGTACAGCACGTTCCAATGCCACAAGTTTATCTATATAAGAAACCTGCACTTGTACCCATGAACTTAAAATAAAAGTTAAAGAAAAAGGCCCGAAGACAGTCCAATGGATAAGGGTCTAGGGAGAAAGTTCAAAAGTTCCTGATTAATAAACACTTTCATGTGCAAAAAAAAAAAATAGGATCTCTTCTCAGACGTCAGAAAAAAATGCAGTATCTGCACATTTTTTCAACGGATAGGGAATTCATGGAGAAATGGTAATGGACCCAGATCTCCCTACCGAATCTAGTCTCCTAAATAAAACTAAGAAGTCTCCAAAAGTTAGACGTTTCTGGAAATAAATGATTCATCTGACAGATGTGAAAGTATCTAGAGTCAAGCCAATACTGATTCTCATAGGTAAAGCATGTTAGTTCTTTTCGTTTTGCTTCATGTTTCATAGCACCTAATTGTAGTTTTTAATCTGCATTTTCCTAATGACTAACGGCATCTTTTCATGTGCTTATTCATCATGTGTATATCTTCTTTACTGAAGTGTCTCTTCAAATCTATTTTACATTTTTCCACTTTTATATCAAATGATTATAGATTCACAGGAAGTTGCTAAAGTAGAACAAAAGATGTCATGTGTCCTTCATCTGTTTCTTCCAATGGTTACATCTTATGTATCTATAGAATTGACATTGGTATAAAATGTATGTATAGTTTTATGAGATTTTATAATATGCATAGATTTGTGTAACAATCACCAATATTGAGCATCATTCCATTGTCACAAAATTCTCCTTGTTACTCCCTCACAATTATACATGAAAAAAAAAGAAGAAAGTGGGCTGACTAATTCTACTGATTTCAACACATATATATTTATAGTAATTAACACTGGTTGGAGTTGTTGGGGCAATAAGCATATTAACGGTGTATGATGAAGAACCCAGATAGAGTTCCACACAAGTATGGCCAGCTGATTTTTTTTTTTTTTTTTGAGATGGAGTCTCGCTGTATTGCCCAGGCTGGAGTGCAGTGGCGTGATCTTGGCTCATTGCAAGCTCTGCCTCCCGGATTCATGCCATTCTCCTGCTTCAACCTCCCAAGTAGCTGGGACTACAGGCGCCCGCCACCACACCTGGCTAATTAGTAGAGACGGGGTTTCACCGTGTTAGCCAGGAAGGTCTCGATCTCCTGACCTCGTGATCCGCCCGCCTCGGCCTCCCAAAGTGCTGGGATTACAGGCGTGAGCCACCGCGCCCGGCCTGGCCAGCTGATTTTTAACAAAGGTGCAAAAGCAATTCAATGAAGAAAGAATAGTCTTTTTCAACAAATGGTGCTGGGGAAATTGTATATCCGTATGAAAAATATTGAAACTTAGCCTAAATCTTGCACTTTATTAAAAAATTAACACAAAGTAAATCATGAATTTAAAGTGACAGGTAAAAACATAAAACTTTTAGAAAAAGACAAGGTAAAAATCTTTGGGTCATAGAGCTTTGGAGGAATTTTTAGATAAGACATCAAAAATATAATCCATAAAATTTTATGATATATTGAACTTTATAAAAATTAACAATGTATGCTCTGATAATAATATTCTGGTAAGGGAATGGAAAGAGAAGCTACAGACTGGGGAAAAAAATGTTCACAAACCATGTATCTATCAAATAGCTAACATCAAGAGTCTGTATCTGGAATACATAAAGAATTCTCAACTCAACAGTAAAACACCAACATTCCAATTTAAAAGTTGGCAAAAGATATGACATTGACATGCGTATTGCTCCACCAACTCCAACCAGTTTTAATTACTGTAAGTATTTATGTATTGAAATCAGTAGAGTTATTCAGCCCACTTTCTTCTTCTTTTTCAAAATTTGTTTCAGATATTCTAATTCTTTTCATTTCCACATACATTTCTCAATAATCCTATCTATAGCTACAAAAATTTTGCTGAGACTTTGATAGAAATTGCATTAAACTGGACCACTCGTGGTCCATGGCACTCTGAATATATTAAATTGAAAATTCTAGATATGAACAATTAATAAGTTTTAAATTGCTACATTTGAATTTATTTATATCTTTTGGGGGAGACAACATCTTTACTACGCTGGGTGCTCTAATTTATGAACACTGAATGTCTCTTTATTTATTTTAAACTTATTTGATTTATTTAATCAGCATTTTGCAGTTTTTAGCATACTGTGCTTATGTTGTTAGATTTAGACTTAGGTATTTTTGAACAATTGCACTTGGCTATTATTAATTTCTGTTTACATATTCATTGTTCATATATAAGAATACAGTTTTAAATCTTAATTGTGTATCCTGCAACCACCCTTAACTCACTTAGTCTAGGGATATTTTTGTAGATTCCCTGAGATTTTCCAAATAGACCATCATCTCATATGTAAATACAGTTTTATTTATTTACTTTTTTCCAACTTATATGCCTTTTATTTCATTTTCTTGCCATATCGTGCTAGCTAGAAGTTCAAGTACTAAGTTAAAGAGCAGTGGTGAAAGTAGACATCCTTGTCTTGTTTCTGATCTTAGGGAAAAATCAGTCTTCCATAATTAATTATATTAGATGTAGATATTCTGTATATGCTCTTTATCAAGTTGAGAAAGTTCTCTCCTACATTTAATTTTCTTAGGGTTTTCAATCATAAATGTGTGTGGAGTTGTGTTAAATTCTTTCTTCGTACACCAATTGATATAATCCTGTCATTTTTCTTCAGGTTATTAATATGATAGTTTTTACTGATTGATTTTTGAATACTGAGCCAGCCTTGCATTTTTGAAATAAATCAACTTGGTCATCATGTATAATTCTGTTTGTATAGAGTAGTAACCCCCTTTTCAGCAGTTTCACTTCCCATGGTTTCAACCACTTGTGGTCCATGGCAGTCTGAATATGTTAAATTGAAAATTCTAGATATGAACAATTAATAAGTTTTAAATTGCTACATTTGAATTTATTTATAAATGTATTTATATTATTTCTATTTTATTTTTAGTTATTGTTGTAGTCTTGTACTGTGTCTAAATTGAAAATTAAAGTTTATTATAGGTATATGAAAACCATTGTATATAGGATCTAGTACTATCTGTGGTTTCAAGCATCCACTGGAGGTCTTGAAACTTCTACCCCATAAGAATAAGGGGGACTATTATTGCTGAATTCTATTTGTGAATATTTTGTTAAGAATATTTGCTTCTATTTCTTTAAAATAATATTTGCATGTATACTTATAAAGACTACTGGTCTGAAGTTCAGTTTTTTTGTACTGTCTGTGACTAGCTTTGTTATCAGGGTCATATTAGCTTTATACAATTATTGTGAGGTTCTCCTTTGCCTTTAATTTCCTGGAAAATATTGCATATATTGGTGTTCATTCTTTACTAAATTTTTGATAGAATTCTCCAGTGACATAATCCAGACCTGGAGATTTCTTTTTGGGGAGATTATTATTATTATTATTATTGTTATTAATTCAGTTTCTATTTTGTTACATTTTTTCTAATAAGAAGATCTCCTTTATTCCTAGTTATACTCTTTGTTCTGAAATCTAATTTGATATCACTGCAGACATTTCAACTTTCATTTCACACTGTATCTTTTTTTTTCTCCTTTTACTCAAAACCTATCTGTCTCTTTGTACTTAAAGTGTATTTCTTTTAAGCAGCATAGAGTTTGGTCTTTTTATTTCCTTTAATCCAATCTGTCAATCCCTGGTTTTAAACTGAGTTGTTTATGTCATTTGCATTTACTGTGATTACTTACATGGCTATATTTAAATCTTTTACCTTGCCATTTGCTTTAGATTTGTCCTAACCATTTTTGTCCCCCTTTTCACTATTTACTGCCTTCTTTGGACTAATTACATATTTTTATGATCATATGTTATCTTCTATTTTTGCTCATTAGTTATAACTCTTTGTTAAGCTATTATCATGTGTTTTAAGGTTTATATTGTACATGTTTAAGTTATCATAGTCTATAATCAATTGGTATTATAATACTTTATCTGTAGTTTAAGAATCTTATAATGGTACTCCCATGTCTACCCTCCTGGACTTGATGCTTTTGTTGCCTTACATATCACTTACACATGTGTATTAATCGTAAAAATACATTGTTACTATTCTTGTTTAAAGAGTCACTTATCTTTTAAAGATATACAGAAATGATTAAAACTTCTTGTTTTTCTCCTGATGTTTTCATTTATGGTGTCCTTCATTCCTCATTTGCGTCTGGTACTCTTCTGAAAGTTTTAGCATTTTCTTTTTGTAAGGCAAGGCTTCTAGTAATGGGTTCCTTTAGTGTTTGTGTATCTAAAACCATCTTTATTGTGTCTTCATTTTGAAAGATGTTTTCACTGGGGATGGAATTCTACAATGACAATTTTTTTCTCAGCATTTTGAAATTTTGCTATTGTATATTGTCACTTACATTGTTTCTGATTTTAAAAATCTACTGTCATTCTCTGTGTGTAAAATGTGTTTTCACCTTCTGGCTACTTTTAAGATTTTCTTTGGATCATTAGTTTTGAGAAATTTTATTTTTATGTGCTTTGATATAGTTTTCTTCACATATTTTATACTTGGATTCATTAAGCTTCTTGGATCATGTGAGTGTACTGGTTTTATAAAGTTTGGAAAATTCCAAATAAATGAGTACCCAGTACTTCTTCATTTTTTTTTTCTGCCCCATACTGTCTGTAGAGATTTCAGTTTCTCTTTTCTCCATTCCTGTAATATCATATCACCTGATTCTGGGCCTCATTTTTGTTAGGGTCAGTAATTTTTGTATTTTTTGTAGAGACGGGGTTTCTCCATGTTGCCCAGGCTGGTCTTGAACTCCTGGGCTCAAGAAATTCACATGTCTCAGCCTCCCAAAGTGCTAGGATTGTAGATGTGAGTGACTGAGTCTGGCCAGATCACTAGACAAGTTCTAAAATGTTGGTTTTAACTCTAAGTAGGCAGCTCAAGACAGGTACCTCAAAGGCCAATCTGCATTAAAGTAGCAAGAGAATACTATGAAGGAACGTATCTTAGAATGCTAGACTTGTCAAAGGGTAACTGTTTCTAATGTATCCTAACAATTATGGGGGAATTGAAAAAGATACATTTATTGTAGTTGGTAAATGCAAAAAAATGCACTCCATATTCAAATGGCTCCTTTTCTTCCTAAAACAATATGAAAAAAGAACAGCATCAGAATACATTAAAATAAATTTAGCAGGAGAGAAGCAAAGTCAAGATGCCCAAATAATTTTTATTTTTATTTTTTATTTTTATTTTTTTTAAATCATGTAAATATTTATTTATTTATTTATTATTTTATTTTATTTTATTATTATTATACTTTAAGTTTTAGGGTACATGTGCACAACATGCAGTTTTGTTACATATGTATACATGGGCCATGCTGGTGTGCTGCACCCATTAACTCATCATTTAGCATTAGGTGTATCTCCTAATGCTATCCCTCCCCCCTCCCCCCACCCCACAACAGTCCCCAGAGTGTGATGTTCCCCTTCCTATGTCCATGTGTTCTCATTGTTCAGTTCCCACCTATGAGTGAGAATATGCAGTGTTCGGTTTTTTGTTCTTGTGATAGTTTACTGAGAATGATGATTTCCAGTTTCATCCATGTCCCTACAAAGGACATGAACTCATCATTTTTTATGGCTGCATAGTATTCCATGGTGTATACGTGCCACATTTTCTGAATCCAGTCTATCATTGTTGGACATTTGGGTTGGTTCCAAGTCTTTGCTATTGTAAATAGTGCCACAATAAACATACGTGTGCATGTGTCTTTATAGCAGCATGATTTATAGTCCTTTGGTTATATACCCAGTAATGGGATGGCTGGGTCAAATGGTATTTCTAGTTCTAGATCCCTGAGGAATCGCCACCCTGACTTCCACAAGGGTTGAACTAGTTTACAGTCCCACCAACAGTGTAAAAGTGTTCCTATTTCTCCACATCCTCTCCAGCACCTGTTGTTTCCTGACTTTTTAATGATCGCCATTCTAACTGGTGTGAGATGGTATCTCATTGTGGTTTTGATTTGCATTTCTCTGATGGCCAGTGATGGTGAGCATTTTTTCATGTGTCTTTTGGCTGCATAAATGTCTTCTTTTGAGAAGTGTCTGTTCATGTCCTTTGCCCACTTTTTGATGGGGTTGTTTGTTTTTTTCTTGCAAATTTGTTTGAGTTCATTGTAGATTCTGGATATTAGCCCTTTGTCAGATGAGTAGGTCGTGAAAATTTTCTCCCATTTTGTAGGTTGCCTGTTCACTCTGATGGTAGTTTCTTTTGCTGTGCAGAAGCTCTTTAGTTTAATGAGATCCCATTTGTCAATTTTGGCTTCTGTTGCCATTGCTTTTGGTGTTTTAGACATGAAGTCCTTGCCCATGCCTATGCCCTGAATGGTAATGCCTAGGTTTTCTTCTAAGGTTTTTATGGTTTTAGGTCTAATGTTTAAGTCTTTAATCCATCTTGAATTGATTTTTGTATAAGGTGTAAGGAAGGGATCCAGTTTCAGCTTTCTACATATGGCTAGCCAGTTTTCCCAGCACCATTTATTAAATAGGGAATCCTTTCCCCATTGCTTGTTTTTCTCAGGTTTGTCAAAGATCAGATAGTTGTAGATATGCGGCGTTATTTCTGAGGGCTCCGTTCTGTTCCATTGATCTATATCTCTGTTTTGGTACCAGTACCATGCTGTTTTGGTTACTGTAGCCTTGTAGTATAGTTTGAAGTCAGGTAGCATGATGCCTCCAGGTTTGTTCTTTTGGCTTAGGATTGACTTGGCAATTCGGGCTCTTTTTTGGTTCCATATGAACTTTAAAGTAGTTTTTTCCAGTTCTGTGAAGAAAGGCATTGGTAGCTTGATGGGGATGGCATCGACTCTATCAATTACCTTGGGCAGTATGGCCATTTTCTCTGAAATTGTGGCAATAATCAATAGTTTACCAAACAAAAAGAGTCCAGGACCAGATGGATTCACAGCTGAATTCTACCAGAGGTACAAGGAGGAACTGGTACCATTCCTTCTGAAACTATTCCAATCAATAGAAAAAGAGGGAATCCTCCCTAACTCATTTTATGAGGCCAGCATCATCCTGATACCAAAGCCGGGCAGAGACACAACCAAAAAAGAGAATTTTAGACCAATATCCTTGATGAACATTGATGCAAAAATCCTCAATAAAATACTGGCAAACCGAATCCAGTAGCACATCAAAAAGCTTATCCACCATGATCAAGGGGGCTTCATCCCTGGGATGCAAGGCTGGTTCAATATATGCAAATCAATAAATGTAATCCATCATATAAACAGAACCAAAGACAAAAACCACATGATTATCTCAATAGATGCAGAAAAGGCCTTTGACAAAATTCAACAACACTTCATGCTAAAAACTCTCAGTAAATTAGGTATTGATGGGACGTATCTCAAAATAATAAGAGCTATCTATGACAAACCCACAGCCAATATCATACTGAATGGGCAAAAACTGGAAGCATTCCCTTTGAAAACTGGCACAAGACAAGGATGCCCCCTCTCACCACTCCTATTCAACATAGTGTTGGAAGTTCTGGCCAGGGCAATTAGGCAGGAGAAGGAAATAAAGGGTATTCAATTAGGAAAAGAGGAAGTCAAATTGTCCCTGTTTGCAGATGACATGATTGTATATCTAGAAAACCCCATTGTCTCAGACCAAAATCTCCTTAAGCTGATCAGCAACTTCAGCAAAGTCTCAGGATACAAAATCAATGTACAAAAATCACAAGCATTCTTATACACCAATAACAGACAAACAGAGAGCCAAATCATGAGTGAACTCCCATTCACAATTGCTTCAAAGAGAATAAAATACCTAGGAATCCAACTTACAAGGGATGTGAAGGACCTCTTCAAGGAGAACTACAAACCACTGCTCAATGAAATAAAAGAGGATACAAACAAATGGAAGAACATTCCATGCTCATGGGTAGGAAGAATCAATATCGTGAAAATGGCCATACTGCCTAAATAATTTTTAAAATGCCCAGAATATGTCAGCAAAAACACACTTTCTAAAGAAATATTCTATAAGTAACTAGAACAATAAAATCCTACTCATTCCAAGAATAGTTACAAATAAAAGCTGGAAAAACAATTTATAAAAATAGCCTATAAAATAAAGAGATAAAAAGGAGGAAAATGCACCAGAAATAGGGCTTTACCTCTGTGAAATATATCACAGAGGAGCATTCTGACTAGTTGAAACAACTTGTGCAGGCTGGTGGATAGGAGAGGCCACTATTGAGAAATCCTTTAAAGGAACAACAATTTGAACAACAGGTGTTTCTTTAAAAATAAAGAAAATGGAACATTTGTGAAGTGATTTTTTAAAACTAAAATTCCACATGCAATTTTATTGTAGAAACTTACCACAAGCTTAGTTGTCTAAAACAATATGTTTATTATGTCACATTTCCTGTGGTTCGGAAGTCTGGGCGTGGCTTGACTAGGTCTTTTGAGAAGCTGAAATCTAGGTTTCAGCAAGGCTTGCAATCTCATCACAGCATAGATAGCTTTGTAATAACTAATCTTCCAGTCAACAAACATAATGTATTTCTCCACTTTCTCTAAAAAGAGTCTGGCGCCTCTTCCCCCTTGCTTCCACTGTTCCCTTGTGATCTCTGTGCATGCTAGCTCTTCTTCACTTTCCACAATGAGTGCAAGCAGCCTGAGACTCTCACCAGATGCAGATGCCTAATCTTGAACTTTCCAGTCCTTGGAAGCATGAGCCAAATACACCTTATTTCTTTATAAGTTGCCAAGCCTTAGGAATTCCTTGATAAAAACACAAAAGGGACTAAGACACTTAATATATCTATTGCTATTGACAATATAATTATTTTAAGTCATGTAGTCCTACTTTTTTATTGTCATACAGTTATACAAGTGATTTTAATATTTCCTCCATATACATCCTCCTTGCTAAATTCTCATTTTATATCTAATTTTTTTCTATAAATACATTTAAATTTTCTACACAAAAAATTCATTATCTGCAACTAATGACAGTTTGGTTCTTCTCTAACAATTTATATTTAATTATGAATTGTCTTACTTTACTACATAAAGGACCCAGAATAATCCTGAATAAATGTAGGAAGTGTGTATAATTGTTGTGTTGCTGACAATAATGTAACACTTTTCAGGTTTTATCACTAATAATGTTATTCACTGTAGGTTTAAAATAATTTTCTTGTTAGCTTAGGAAGTTTTCCTTTATCCTTATTTTTAAGAGTTTGCTTTAAAACTATGAATACTTGCTTTTTCATTCCAAAGATTTGTTGTCATGCATCTATTGAGATTATTATACTATTAAACTTTAAACAATCTGCTTCTGTGGTAAATGTGGTATTTAAAAATTAGAATGTTAAAATATATTTGAATATCTGGAATGAGTTCATCTTGATCTTGATACATTGTCATATTTTTTCTTTTCATATATTATAAAATTTTATTTGAAAAATTACTTCTGGCCCCTTACACTTCATTCATAGTGAGATATGCATATTATTTCCCTGCCTGTATTGAACTTTTATTGTTCTTTTTTGAAGGATCCAAGGACGAATCCACCTCTTTGCATTTTTCAGCTTCCAGAGGTTGATCACAGTTCTTGGTCCCTTCAAAGCCAGCAATGTTGAGTTAAGTCCTTCTCACAAGGAAGGAGAAGAACTCTTCTGCCATTGTCACATCACTCACTATGACTACAAGCAGAAAAGGTTTTCCACTGTTAAGAATCCATGTGATTATACTGGACATGGGAGTGCATCCAGGATAATCTCCATATTTTAAAGTCAGAGTCTACCAATCTTAATTCTGCAACCTTTGACACCCATGTGCCATATAATGTATTCAAAGGTTCTGGGGATCAGGATGTGGACATCTTTGTGGGGCTATTATTCTAAATACCACATTATTCTTGTCTAAGGATATTGTCAAGGAAGATGGAAAACAATAACAGGTTATACTCCAGCTGAGGATTCATTGGCAGTAGAAATATCCTGTAACTTCAGTCATAGGGGAAGAACATATTAAAAAGTGGGACAAATAGAGTTGTTGGGATGAGAAACAACCAACATGGATTTCTTTTTCTCCTTTGAAATACTTGTTGTGACATGGAGTGATACAAAAATAACCAAACCAAAATAACCCAAACCAACTAACAACTTATTTCTATTATGGGTCTCATAACTTTGAAATGATATTCTGTGTCCTGGTTCTTGGAGAAGTAGGAGAAAGGAATGGTACAGAATCAAAACAATAATCAGCATTATAAAATAAGATGTCTTTATTATACTATATTTTGTCATTACAGGATTCTTAATGTGTAAACTCCCAAATAGTCAGCTATATATAGTCTCACAGTTGTACATGGTGATTACCCAATAGTGTGAGAATAGGACAAATGTTTTGGAAACCTCAAACCACTGGGATCTGTGGAAATGCCACATCATCATAGATATGTTCAGGAGAGACTACAGATCGTTCGTTCTCGTTATTTGGTACAAAAAACACAACCTGTGAAGAAATAGGAAAATTCTAATTTTCTTATTTCTAATTATCTTATAGTTAGATAAGTAGGAAACTTATCTAAGTATACCAACAGGTATATGGGAAAGTACTGAAATCACTAACCATCAGGTAAATGAAAATCAAAACCGCAGTAAAATATTATCTCACACCTGTCAGGCTGGCAACTATAGAACAAAGCAAGTGTTGGTGAGGTTGTAAAGAAGTTGGTACCTTTGCACACTGTTGGTGGAAATGTAAAATGGTGCTGCCGCTCTGGAAAGACATATAATTTTTTTCAAAAACTTAAATAACTCCCATATGATCCAACAATCCCATTTCTGGGTATTAATCCCAAAACAGTAAAATCAGGATCCCCAAGAGATATTAGCACTCCTATGTTCATTTAATCACTATTCATGGTAGCCAAAATATGAAAATGTGGTATATGCCAACCTAATACATAAATAAATAATGCTTTTGCTTTTTTTCTTCCAATAATGAAGAAAGGCCTTTTTAAGGCTTTAGAAAGAAGGAAATTCTGCAATATACTGCAACATAAATGAACCTTGAGGCCATGATGCATACGATAAAAACCAGTCACAGAAAGACAAATATTGCGTGATTCCAATCATACGAGGTATCTAAAATAGTGTGACTCATAGAATCAGAGGCTGAAATGCTGGTTACCAGGATCTGAGGATAGCAAAAGTGGGGAGTTGCTAATCAACAGATATAAAGCTTCAGTCAAGCAAGATGAGTAAGCTCTGGAGATCCTGTGTACACTATTGTACCTATAGTCAACAATAATATCTTGTACACAAAAATGCTTTAGGTTGCTAATCTCATGTTAAATATTCTTACCACAGTAAGATATACTATAGATATAGATATACTATTATTACATATATATACACACGTATATATATAAATATATATATGTATATTTAAAAAGAGTGGCAGATTAGACAAAGTGTCTAAACTGATTTTGTTTGTTTGTTTTAGCCATCCCTACACCTCATAGTATTTTGTTTGTTTTGTTTTGCTTTTGTTTGGCTTAGAAGTATCTTTTAGTCTTTAAAACCAGTTGCTTCTTATTTCACAACAGCCTGCATTTAACTCCCTGAACTTCTCACTCACTGTGGATGCCATTGAGGAAAATGAATGTATATGACCCAGTCATCTTAGCTTGTTGCTCAGAATCCTTGGAAATTATGGTGTAGCTACAGCTGTCAGTTTTCTGTTTTCTCTTCAGCTAGTGTTTCAAATCAAGAGGGAAGTGCTCCCTGGACTCTGAGTCCTTACAACATTTTCCATTGTCCAAGCACACAACATCAGAGTGGTCAGAGAGAAGAGGTTATTTTTTTTTCGGTACGTTATTCCTGGCATGGTTCAAAAGCCCAAATCCTGTAAATTTCAAGAGATAGTCCAATATGTATAAGTCCAATGACTCCAGTTAGCTCCATGGTGAGAATTCACAAGGAAACCTCCTGAATATAAAACCTATTTATATTATTGTATTAGTGCAACAGTACTTACTACAGAAAAAAATGTGCTATAAGTAGAGATACAAATTCTTCTTAAAAAGATATATATTACTTCCACAGCCATCAGAACTGTGCCTGTTCCTGCTGTGGTGGCACTGACTGTATTCATCCCCAGGCTGCCTTGGATCTGAAAAGGAGAGAAAAAGATTTTTGGAAATATACAGTCTCGTGTTCTTTCTGTCTCTGAGAGTCCACAAAATGACATTTAACTCAGTTGATTTGAATTTGGATATCAACTTGGACAGTGCTCCCACTCTGGAAAAAAAAATGTTGGGGGGGAGGAAGCATCTGGTATAGAGGAAGCCTTGATTACATCAGGCTCCAATGCAGGGATTGTATTGCACATGGAATGTCATAGCACAGAGCTAAGTCTATCATTCTTGCCTAAGTGTCACAGGGGAAAAATTTATTAGGATTACATGAGAACATTTCTAGGGAGCCTCTTTAGAGAACCAGCCAGGTTTGATGTGTCTTATCCTTGCAGCTCAGGAAATGTCTCTTGCTAGAACTCTCAGGCTTAACCAAAAGACACTTACCAGACCCTTGGTCGCTTTCCTTCCAGCAGCAAAGCCCCTGTTACAGACTTGTCCACTGACTCTCAAAGACATTAGCTTTCATATCCAGCATTCAGCAGTTCTTCCTAAATGAGGATACAAACCCAGTGTTGATGATGGTTATGCTTCTGTGTACTAATTATTCAATTCATTTATACCTCTATTGTTTTTCCTGGCTGATTTGCTGCTATTTCCACAGTGCTCCAGACGGAAAGAACTGATTAAAGAGAATCAACTCAGAGCTTCCATCGGCACTCCCTTTCCTAAAATAATCTCCTACCTTCTCCCACTCTTTTGTCAATATTATTTACCCAAACAATTGTCCAAGTTTGGTATTTAAAATTAATGCATAGATTTTCAAGAGAAAATGATGAAGTCATTTGCAGATACCTGAAATTAGAAGTAGTAGAACAATGACTAGTACTCACTGAGAAGGATCCCCATAAATGATAGTTCATATTAATTATATGGAGAACTCCAACTGCATAAACAGTTGAAACAAAAAGCGCCATTGTGAGACGCAGGCATCGTGTCATCAGCCCAATCAGGATCTGAGCCTCCTGGAGAGTAAAAAACATCCTGTGAGGAGGTGCATCTTCTCAGGGTGAAGGCCTTTCTAACATCATTGCACATTAATTCCTTCCCCACCTCCGAGACTCCAAACTTGAGATATCTTGCAGGAAGATAAAAATGTATGCATTGTCTGTTCTCTTGTCCAACACAGGATACTGCAATTAATCTTACTATTATTTATTTATATATTTGCCATTACTTTTAATGGCAAAAACCGCAGTGACTTTTGCACCAACCTAATACATAAGTAATGATAACATTTTTGTGTTTTTTTTCCTTCCAATAATGAACAGCTTTATTCAGTCCCTTTTCATTTTGTCAATTTGTAAGGTTTGTTTAGTTCAGAAAGGTTCAGATAGTTTTCTACCATACTCAGTGACCTGGAAAATGTGGATATCTTGAGGAAATCTCAGTCCTGTCTCAGGAAATGATGCTTTTCCCCTAAGCCTGTGCTCTGGTCTCGTGTTCACTCACCCCTAGGACCTGGGGCTGCCTTTTCAGAAAAAGCCTCAAATCCTTCAGTTGCTGTTAGGGCAAGATCCAAGCCCCCGACTGGCTTGGTAGTAAGATGGTCTCTTTCCAAAGAAAGTTTATGATCCTTCCCTTGACTGCATCTGCCTCTGATGTCCAGGTATTGCTGTTGGCACCAGGAGAGAAAACGCTTAGTGGAGAGCCACTTCTAAATATTTTCCTTGATCAATATCAAAATGTAGTGGCAAGAGATTTTGTGTCTCTGGAAAATAATATCATAATAATATAATGATATTTGATTGAAATAATCAAATAATATTCATAATATTTTATTTCCACAACTTTGATTAGGGCAGAGCTGGATTTTTTACTTACATCCTCATTCTCGTATTGACCCAGGCAGTCAGCTAGGACAAATCTGCACTGAACTATAGCTGCCTAATCCTCGGCAAGGGAACACAGTGTTACTGACCTTATGCAAAGTATCTAAGCCTTGATGAACGAAATTTGGACATTTACCTTCCTGCTCAGATTCCAGAAAGAAAGAGAACTGACTATTTGCAGCAAAATTTCAGGCAATATTTTTCCATACCCAAGTTTCCTGTAGCTCAGTTTACAGTGACCCCCACAGGCCTGGCGTTCACATCATCTCCACTTAGACTCCTTGTAAGATCAAACATGGGACTACTATAAGGCACGGTCTCTTCCTACCTTTGCATCTCTTCAGGGCACACCAATGGAAGTTATTGTCCTTTCTGGTGTGTGGACTCTAATTCACAGTCCTCAAAGAGGATGAATACCTGTCTGATGTGTAATTTGTGATGAAACTTTGTCTTAGACCCATGGGCCACTAGTTTCCTGTGATTTATCTCACTCTCCTTGCCAGATAGGTATCTGCAATGTTTTTAAGTTTTGTAATATATCCCTGATATAATAATCTAACTTCACTTCTCACATGCTAACACAGTATCAATGTAAGAGCACATTGTCAATGCTAGCTCCCCTCCATTGCCGTGTCTCCTGAATAGTATGCATGTCTCGCTTGCCAGATTCACTGTTAATAGGACTCATGTTTCTCTGGCTTCATGTAATAAAAACTAACTATAAATTATGAGTGCTTCTGAATTAGGGATCTTCTTAAAAACATGATTTTATTTAATAATATTGTATTTTATAAAATCCTTATTGTGTATCTTATCACATAACAGTTGTAATTATTTAATATACTTTCCCGACTATTACTTCTGTTTTTTTGAAAAACTCTCCTCCCGGTTCATGTGATTTCATTAGACTTGTAACCCCAGGTATGACAAAGTCTTTTCTTATGCCACAGTAACTGGACTGCTCTATTTTCTCATCCTTGTAAAATGGTAACTCCTTAGTGAATGCTTCAGAAGTTTCCAAAAATTCAAGAAAAATACCATATTGTTGGCAAATGTTAATTTATTGTGTATCATATTTAAGGCAGTAGGAAAAATGTTTCATAGAACCAAAAGATTGACATCATGTAAACAAACAAACAAAAATCAGTTTGCTACTAACACTTTCCCAATCCACTCTCTCATCTTGGTATTTTTTTCTTTTTCTTTTTCTTTTTTTTTTGCCAAGGACTTCTTAAAATCTTTTCAGGATTTTTCTTATAAAATATTTTGTAATATTTGAAACAAAACAATAAGCCTAATAACATCCTGACATCCATTAACATTTAAACAATTCAACTTGGACTCTAAATTCCCTCTACAAATCATGTTAATTCTATGATTCCTCCACAAGAATTTACATAGGTGAATATCTATACACATATGTATGTTTACATATATATGCACATATCTATATACATATATATGTGTCTTTTAACTTACTGATTTTTTTCTCCATTGTAAGCACTTATTTGGATGTTCAAGACACATGATAATAGAAACATTTACTTCCAAGTTTAATTTTGTAAGGCAAAATTCTCATTTTGTTTCTGGACAAAAATATCTTTTGGGCCTTTATATCAGCCTCCTCATATATTTTCTCATTCCAGGGGAGAAACTGGTTTTCATCTGGTTCTGTCGATCAACCAGAAAACTCTTGGATATCCCATTTCAGAGTCAAAGATATTAACATAATGTTCATTACACTATTGTGTGTGTAATTGGTTAAATTACAGCATAATTTTCTCTTTCTTTGCAACAGAATTGTGTTTTTGCCATGGAAAACATGTTCCCAATTAAGTGTGGTGACTGGAGGCCACTCATTGGTAAATTACAGATGTCACTTTATACCTGGATATATATATGTGTGTGTGTGTGTGTGTGTGTGTGTGAGCATGCATGTGTATATATACATATATATGTGTATCTTTATATGTGTGTGTGTGTGTGTATATATATATGTATATATCTCCCAGATATCACTAGATAGGCTTTTACCAAAAACAAAACAAAACAACTGCAGGATGTCATTTTACAGCACTTTCAACTATCTCCATGGATACAATATGATGTTGTTTCTCTGTCCAGTCCCAGCTAGATGCAACACAAGGAAAACTAGTTATCCATGGCACATGGACCAGACCATTAAAGAACAATGGTAAAGACACCACTTTCCACAATACCCTTCCGTGAGTTAGTCTCACTGTCGCTTTTGCATAGATGCATGTCCCTGTTACAGACTTGTCCACTGACTCTCAAAGACATTAGCTTTCATATCCAGCATTCAGCAGTTCTTCCGAAATGAGGATACAAGGCAAGTGTTGATGATGGTTATGCTCTAGTGTCCTAATTATTCCCTTCATTTACACCTCTATTGTTTTTCCTGGCTGACTTGCTGCTATTTCCACTTCCCTGGAGTAGTGCTAGCTCTACACCTATTTAGGTTAGCAAGTCCTGTTCACTCTTATAAGGTGTCTTTGGGGATAGATTTGTTAGGGTGTAACTCAGCACAGTAACCCCACAGAGGGTTCTAATTTCCCCTCAGATATGTGGTCTTGTGGTATTTCTATAATGTGTTATATTTCTAGATTTTTATGTGTATTTCCAGAAAAAAAAAACCCGTCTCTACTAAAAATACAAAAACAAGTTAGCCGGGCATGGTGGCGGGCACCTGTGGTCCCAGCTACTCAGGAGGCTGAGGCAGGAGAATGGTGCAAACCCAGGAGGCAGAGCTCGCAGTGAGCGGACATCGTGCCACTGCACTCCAGCCTGGGTCTGTCTCAAAAAAAAAAAAAAAAAAAACAAAAAAAGAAATTACCAGTAAACAGAGAGCCTAAGAATGAGAAAAAGTACTCACAAACTATACATCTGCCAAAGGTCTAATATCCAGCTTCTACAAGGATCTTAAGCAAAAACCAAAAAAAAAAAAAAAAAAAAAATCCAATTAAAAATGGGAAAAGGACATGCACAGACACTTTTCAAAAGAAGACATACAAGCAACCAACAAATATGAAAAAATGTTCAACATCATGAATCATCAGAGAAATGCAAATCAAAACCACAATAAGATACCATCTTACACCAGTCATAAAGGCTATCACTAAAAAGTCACAGAACAACAGATGCCGACAAGGCTGTGGAGAAAAGAGAACACTTACACACTGTTGGTGGGAATGGAAACTGGTTCAGCCACTGTGGAAAGCAGTGTGGTGATTCCTAGAAGACCTAAAAACACAACTACCATTTGACTCAGCAATCCTGTTACTGGGTTTTCCCAAAGGAAAATAATTCATTCTATCAAAAAGACACATGCACACATATGTTCATTGCAGTGCTACTCATGATAGCAAAGACATGGAATCAACCTAGGGGCCTGTCCATGGTGGATTGGATAAAGGAATTGTGGTACATATAAAACATGGAATACTATGCGATCATAAAAAACAATGAAAGCTTGTCCTTGGCAGCAACATGGATGGAACTGGAGGCCATTATCCTAAGCAAATGAACGGAAGAACAGAAAACCAAATACTGCATTGTTTTCACTAGCAAGTGGGAGCTAAATATTGAATACATATGAATGTAAAGATGGGAACAATAGACATTGAGGACCACTCACTCGATGGGGAAGGGAGGGAGAGGGGAACAGGTTGAAGAGCCCCTGTTGGGTACTATGCTTACTGCCTGGGTGATGGGATTTTTGGGACCTCAAGCCTCAGCATCATGTAATGTACCCATGTAACAAACCTGCACGTGTACTCTTTAATGTAATGCTGATGCTGATTATGCATTTGATTTCCCACCTTTCAACCCCACAACTTCTCAAGGAACCAGGAAACAGGGTACCATTTTAAAACTTCCAAATTTGTGAAAATAGAAATAAATTTATTACTTGAATTAAGTTCTTTTTCATCAGCTCATGTCACACCAAATCTTTCATGGGACAAAAAGAAACCCACGTTGGTTATGACTCATTGCCTCACCACATGTCTACTGACAATGAGCTCCCAGCCAGTGTCGGCCAGGACACAGTTGTTATTTTTCTTCTATTTTCTGCAATAACAACATCAAAAAAGGCAGTATGTTACCAAGAATAATAGTACCCAAAGTTATCCACATCCTACTCCCTGGAATCTGAGAGTATGCTATGATATCTGGCAAATGATTTTAAAAGTTACAGATAGAATCAAGTTTGCTAAGCAGTTGATCTTAACACAGAGTTTATCCTGGAGAATTATGGCAATTCTAATGTAATAATAAGAGTCCTTATAAGTGGAGAACCTTTCCCAGGTAAGTCTAAGAGAGAATTGAGGATAGAAGAATAGTCAGAGGTGCAACATGAGAAGGACATGATCTGCCACTGCCAGCCTTGAAAAAGCCCATGAGTCAATGAATGAGACAGCCTCAAGGAGCTAGAAAAGGCAAGGTCATGGATTTTTTTCCCTAGAAGCTCCAGAGAGGAAAGTAGTTCTGTAGATAACTTGATTTTTAGCCCAGTGAGACCAGTGTTGTATCCTGACCCACAGAACTCTAAGATAAAATTGTATTGTTTTAAGTCACAAAGCTTGTGGTAATTTGTTACAGGCACAATAGAAAACTAATATAAGCAGTGTGATAATGAGAAATTATAAATCACTCTCCCTCATATATATAGATGTAAGAAACTGAAAAATAAAAGTGGCAAATAGAATAGGAAGATGTATTTTTAAAGCATTTGGTCATGGCCAAATTGAACTCATTCCAGTTATTCATATATAATTTGACAATAGAAAATCTTCGAAAATCACTTACTGCAGAAACACATCAAATAAGAAAAAAAGACTTTGTTAATCTCAACAGAGGTATGCAGACAAAGCTTTTGATAAAAATCGATATATACAATTTTTTAAAGAAATTCATGGAGAAGTATGGCCATTTTAACAATATTGATTATTTCTATCCATGAGCATGAACTGTTTTTTCATTTGTTCATGTCGTCTCTGATTTCTTTCAGCAGTGTTTTGTAGTTCTTATTGTAAAGATCTTTCACCTACTTGGTTAGCTCTACTCTTGGTATGTTATGCTTTTTGTAGCATTGTAAATGAGATTGCATTCTTAATTTGGCTTTCAGCTTGAACATTATTGGTATATAGAAATGCTAGTAATGGTTCTACATTGATTTTGTATCTTGAAACTTTACTGAAGTTGTTAATGATTTCTAGGAGCCTTTTGCTGGAGTCTTTAGGATTTTATAAGTATAGAATCACGTTGTCTGTGAAGAGAGACAATTTGACTTCCTTCCTCTCTTTCTATTTGGATGCCTTTTATTTCTTTCTCTTGCCTGACTGCTCTGGCTAGAACTTCCAGTACTATGCTGAATAGAAGTGATGAGAATAATCATCCATGCCTTTTTCCAGTTCTCAGGGGGAATGCTGCCTGCTTTTGCCAGTTCAGTATGATGCTGGCTGTTGGCTGTGGGTTTGTCATAGATGGCTCTTATTATTTTGAGTTATGTTCCTTTGATGCCTAATTTGTTGAGGGATTTTTAACATGAAGGATGGTGAATTTTATCAAAAACCTTTTTCTGCATCTATTGAGATGTCATATGGTTTTTGCTTTTAATTCTGTTTATGTGGTGAATCATATTTATTGATTTGTATATGTTGAACCAATTTCACATCCCAGAAATAAACCCTACCAAAAATAATAAAATTAAACTTCTGAAAGCAATAAGAAAATGTATTTTAAATGTACAGTAAATAGTATAATTGGTATTGAGATATTAAATTTTTTAAATAATCAAGAACAGCCTGGGCGTGGTGGCTCACGCCTGTTATCCCAGCACTTTGGGAGGCTGAGATGGGCGGATCACGAGGTCAGGAGATTGAGACCATCCTGGCTAACACGGTGAAACCCCGTCTCTACTAAAAATACAAAAAATTAGCTGGGCGCAGTGGCAGATGCCTGTAGTCCCAGCTACTCGGGAGGCTGAGGAAGGAGAATGGTGTGAACCCGGGAGGCAGAGCTTGCAGTGAGCCAAGATCACGCCATTGCACTCCAGCCTGGGTGACAGAGTGAGACTCCGTCTCTCTCGAAAAAAAAAAAAAAGGCTTTATACCTCCACCCATCTTCTAGTAGTCCTTGAGCTGGAGTGTCTGGGTGGGACACTCAGTCCCTGCAGGATGCATCATCCTTCTCCCTCTTAGGCATTTTCCAGAATTGCTGCTCTGGGGACAATTGCCTCCACAAAGTTAACAGTACTTCATGGAGTTGCTTATCAATTTTCTTTCACGCAACCCCAGCCAAAATCAAATCAATCTACATCTGTGTGCAGGTCACCTACTGGGGATGCATTTTGTCCCAAGAGGTAGCCCCCTGGAGTAGGGAAACTTTCCCCTTTTTTATGGCACAGACTCTCTGGTCTCACCTACAGCCCTCTGCTTCCCTGAGGGCCGCCATGGAAGTAGTCACCTTATGTATGCAGCACCCCACATAGAGTGAGGACAGTGGCCAGGGAACCAAAGGCACTCAGGGGCACAGAGCCCAACACAAAGTCCCTCATGTGGGAGGTAAAGTGTTCATCATTTGGCCCTTGGGTAGTCAGATGGAACAGCCTGCCACACACCCATCTCCCAAATTACATGCACTAAATCTAGATACGACTGCCATTTACTCACAGTTTCTGGTATTTCTTTGGCATCTTTCCATATCGTTCAAATGGCCACCATCAGCCATTCAATTAGGGTGTGGTCGCCTTGCCCTGTGCTAACCACCTGCTCACCTGCAATCACTGACGGAGGGAGGGATGAGTCATAATGGAAGCCAACTTCTCCATTTCAGAGGCAGAGCAGACGATGCTGTTGGCTCCCTCATCCCAAAGATGAGGCATCGAGGCAGGTAGGGGTTCCCCCAAGCACTGCTGACACTGTTTATCTAATTCCCACAATATAATTGGGGTATAGGCACTGTAAGACATGTGCTCTGTCATGGTAGGGGGTCCCCAAGCCCAACCCTGGGGCCCCAATGACTGTTCCTGCTCTATTTTCTGATGGACCACTGGGCAAACTCGCAACTGATGTTCTTCTTCCTCAGTATCAGACTGAGCAGGAGTCTCTGACTGGGATGGTGGGCCCAAGCCCACACTAATGGCAGACTCTAATTCTCATTCCAAGCTGTGTGTCTGGGCCTCTGGGTTTCTGTTTGTGCCTGGAGGTCCCCTACCTTTGCTGCATCCTGCAGGGACTGAGTGTGCACTTACCGTAGTACAGTCAAAAACGCCCATTGAACTATGCCAGCAAAGGTATTGTCCTCTCATTGCTCTGTGCTTACAGGTACTTCAGTGCCTTCTCCATGCTCACAGGAGACCTGTCCACCACCACCCATGTTTCCACCAAGGCCCATCCTAGCAGCACAGCTACCATCAGGTACCACAACACATGCTGGGGCCACATGGCTGACCTGGGATCATTGAGGCCAAGGGCTCACTCATCTTGGGATCCTACTGACTATGCCAATTGACAGGTTCCAACCTGAGCTGGGTTCTGAAGGGAGCTGGTGGACACGTGGTGGGTAGCTGAAAGAACACTTGGATTGTAGGCAGTTGGAACGTGGCTTTATTCTCTCTCCTGTCCTACAGAGTCAGCAGTGCAGTTATATTACTCACAGACAGAGTGGCTCAAAGCCAGGTATGAGCTCACACAAACAGATTATAGTAAATGGTTACATAATGCATGGGGTTGTGCACCTGCGCTCCAAACCCGCTGTGTCATACCATACCGGATGTTTACCTTGGCCTACTCCTGACTGAAGCACAGCCACTTTCCTTACAATAATAAATAACTTTTGAAAAATGCATAGTTTCCCCTCACTGATGACATGTGGAGACACTGTAAAGGACAAAGGTAGCAAGTGTGATTTCCTGTGGTCAAGTTAGATACCTCCAGTGAATTCCAGATACCTTGTTTTGCCTTTTTCTATTTCTCTTGGGAGAAAAGTTGTTCCTCGTTATCACCATAAGGTGTCAGTAGAGTCAACTGTGCAGAAATTGGGAAAGGCCAATAATTCTAAAATCTTTCTCCTGCAAAGGGAAGAGAAAACATGTTTCCTACACAGTCTGAGTCATCCTATTTAGAGCATTCTACAACTTTCTTTCTCTCTTTTTTTTCCTCTCTTTCCTTTTTTTTTGTTTTTTCAAGGTCTTGCTCTGTCCACCAAGCTAGAGTGCAGTGGCAAGATCATGGCTCAATGAGCCTCAACCTCTCAGTTTCAGGTGATTTTCCTGCCTCAGCCTCTTGAGTAGCTGGGACTACAGGCATGTGTCACCACACCTGGCTAATTTTTTTTTTTTTTTTTTATAGAGATAGGGTTTGGTCATGGTCTCCAGGCTTGTCTCAAACTCCTGAACTCAAGCAATCTGCCCGCCTCAACCGCCCAAAGTGCTGGGGTTACAGGCAAGAGCCACTGTGCCTGGCCCAGACTTTCTTGAAGAAATGAAAGATTTCATGAGTATAATCAGGTTCCAAATCCCAGCGATGTATTGGGGTTGAAGTTAATTTTAGACATAGAGGGTGGAAGTGGAAGGGGAAGGAAAGTTGGACTATGGAAGTGAAAGCAAAGGGAAGTAAACACACAATAAAACTCGAGTTCACTGAGCATCTTTCATGTGTCAGCTATATTGGTAACTGCTTTACAAAGGTTATCTCAATACATCTTCTATCTCAAGGTAGGCATCATTCTCACTTGACTTGGGCTGAAGGGGCATTGCTACTTGAAAGAAAAGATATCAGTGGATGACATGGCAGTGAGGTTGAGCCTAGGATAAAAAGTGGCTTTGAGTGTTGCCTAAAGGGCTGGATGCCTTCTCTGATAAACAAGTCAAAGCTGAAGAGAGACCCGGGGGGAACTTTGAAGACCAGAAGTTTGACTGGGTAATCAGTAAGACTTCTGGTATCCAGAGTGCTGTGGTGGTGGTGAAGACATGGTGGCAGGGGGTGAGGAACAAAGCTGGAGTGTGAGTACAGTAGATGAATACACCAATTGTGGACTCTGAGTCATAGTCCTCTCCTGTGGCAGAAGGTGGCACCATGTGATTGATATGGGGGATGTGGATTTTCAAAAGAAGGACTCTCTCTCACACATACACATACACACACACAAACACACACACACACACACCTGTTTATCCCCTACATTCTTTTAGGCAGAAGAAGGTATGCTTTATTCTGTGTTCAAATAATAGTTAGTGCCCTGTATATATCCCTAATTTCACTGTCATCTCTGTTTCTCTTATTTGACATAGTGTCTGGTATCCAATAAGCGTCAATAAAAGTTGAATGTCCACAGTAGGTAAATAAATAAAAGAAATGGTGTGTGTCAGTGGGGGGTGCAATGGACAGGGAGAAGACATAATGAACGAGAGTTTGAAGATAAAGCTAAAATCAAAGAATCTGACAGTCCAGTTTCAGCCTGGAAAAGAAAACAGCAGAAAAGCTGAGTATCAGGATATCTGATACAGTGGGTATGACCCCTGCTACAGTGGGTAAAAGCAAGGGAAACATGACCAGTTCTTTCAATGAAATGGAGCTCATGTAAAATTGAAATACTTTTCTACGTGTGTGTGTGTACACACATGCTGAAACTTAATATTTATACACAAACAATTGGTCTTTCTTGCAATAAGAAAATAAGTATGAACTGGTCGATGCTTCATAAAAAATGAGTATTCCTGGTTAGCTTTTGTTTGCTCATTAGTTTTGTTTGAATATTTGATGGGGAGAAAATGGAGTTCCAATTTGGGTTTATGTCTGTCATTGTTGACTTATTCTGTGTTTAAGGGAAAAAACAACAAAACGAGTGTTAAAACAAAATATGCACTCAAAAATTTTATTTTGAAGCCAGCTACTTTCATATACCCTGAGACTTCATTATATGGGGCTTGCCTTTATGCACTAATGAGTTAAAATACATAGGATAAAACACTAGCACCTGTATAAAAAAGTCTGAGCACCACAACAAATCAGTTAACTCCTGTTGACAATTAAGGGGTACAATAAAAAGTTGTGTCCTTTGCTTCACTGTGATCCATTGAATGATCATTCTGTCTAGTTTTCTGGGAAACATTTTCTGGGAAATGTTTCTGGGAATGATCATTCTGCCTTGTTTTCTGGAAATTCAGACTATTTGGCTAATCTAGTAAATGGTAATTTACAGCCCCGTGCTTTTGCTGAAGTCAATGTCAGGCAAATCAAGAGATCCCCAATGAACACATATCTTAAATGACAGTGAAATAATGGTTTTTTTTAATGTTCATTACTTTAAAAGCTTACATTTAGGAAACTCAAGCTTTGCTTTTCTATAATGGTTAACTTTTCCATATTATCATAAGAATCAACTTTCTGATTAATATTTCTCCCTTTTTTCTTAAGAAGTCAATAGTTCTTCATATCCACAGTCATGAGTCATTTTTGAGGACATGCCAGAATTACCAATGTAACTGTGAGGCAGGAAAAGTACACTCTAGAAGAAACAAAATATGTTAGGTCTTCAGACTTCAATCAGGTTCAAGATAGATGTATATATGCCATTTTTCCAACTGTATACATAGAATTCTTAGCTAATCCAAGATAAGTAGAGCATATCACCAGGTTCTTCAAATAATTGCAATTTATCACCCTAGTATTCATTCTACACTCTATAATACAATTTTGGATAAATCAAGGCTTTTTAATTCAGTTAAATAAAGCCATAAGTCCATAGGGGTTTGATTCAACAATACATTTTTAATATAGCTTTAAAAAGGCAAACGAATTTTAAGATCACCAGGGGCAAATGCAGAGCATAAGACATTCACTGGATCCAGTTACGTGTGTAAATGCCCTTTACCAAGTCAATACTATTAAAGAGACTAGTGGTTGTGGCAGAAATTGTTTCTGCTTATAAGGGAGGCAAGCCAGGTTCTAGTGTCCTCAGCAAAGGCACAAACTCATAGCATAATGCCAGGCCAGTCATTTAACTTCCCAGAGTCTCATTCCCTTCGCTGACAAAATAGGAAGATTGAATCAGTTGATTTCTCATGATTAACTATTTTCATATCCAGTGAATTTTCAGCTTATCAGCTACTCAATTGCCATCTGCTTTTCTTCTCTGTCTTCCATCACAATGCAAATGCCCTCCCATGTGTATCTCATGACTGACTGATTGTTCCTTCTACCACTCTTGGTGACATACTCAACACAGTGCAGGGATAAGATACACTAGGCAAGGTTAAGTGAAGCCGGCCAGCACACTCACCCCAGGGAAGTCAGAGTAAGCCTGTTTCCACCGCAGCACAGCAGTGAGCACAGCTAGGCAGAATTCCAGCAGAGTGCAAATCAGCATCAGAGAGAGAGTTCCCTGAAAGTCAAGAAATAAAAGATTGATGTTGCTTAGGTCAGCTGAAGCCTTCATGCCTAGTTGAGAGGTGACCATAGAGATGAAGACCACCTCAACCATTAGAGAATGAAGAAAGGACACCATCAGGAAGATAAAACTGCTCCTCCCACACCTCACAATTGTCTTAATTCAACCCCTTAACTCATTTCCTTGAGAGGAGAAAGGGAGATGAATAGTAATTAAATCAACTAATCTACTTCATACACTTATTTCTTACTTCTTTGAGACATCCATAGTTCTGATGACATTGTTCACTCGGTAAGAAAGCAGAGTGGCGTAATAACTCCCAGGACTGAGAATCAGCAGCTCCGTTCCAGTCTCACCTTTACTGCTTAGTAGCTGTGTAAGCCTGGACAAGTCTCTCTCTTTCTCTAGCTCCTGTTTCCTCATGTATCAAACATGCATACTAACATTTCTTTCTCAGAAATTTGTAAGGATCAAGGAGGTTTTGACTGTGCAAGTCCTTTGTAAAATTTAGTATTGACATCCCTGTCTATGTATCTGAACCCCTTTGTATTTCTTCTTGATTTTTGTTGTTGTTTCTTTGTTGTTTTTTCTTTTTTTTCTTTTTTTTGGGGGTGTAACTGTAAGGCTTAGAAAAAAACAGTGAAGGTAGTAAACTGTCAGAGTTGCTAATCACCAACACCAACTCACAAGAATGAATTCTATCATTTCTGTCCTGAGACATTCTTTGTGCAGAACTGGCCATCTGATAATAAACGGAAATAATTTGATCACATGAAACTTTGGTTTGTGGTATTTATACACAGTTAAAGAGAAGATATAACTTTTTCCATTACTGGAAATTGTTCCAGCAAGCAAACTTGACAGAATCTCTCTTATTTCCAATGTAAAATCGTCCCATCATGAATTTATACTTTATCACTACCAAATTTCTCTGAAATTTCTCTTCAGAATTTTTCCCAAGGTGGAATTGGCTGTGCCAGGTATTAATCTGTGCCAATTGCTGTCAGCCTCATTTACTTGTACTTTTTCTCATTATACCATTACCTTGGGAGCAAGGCCCTCTTTATAATGAGTGCTATACAAACATGACTTTGACCAGACCTTTCTATCTGTCCATCTTCCAGCTGAGTTCTTGGCTTATCTTGTTTTTATGATTGCAGGACAACAAATATTCTGCAATTTCTTTATTCCTTTTTTTTTTTTTTTGAGACGGAGTCTTGCTCTGTCACCCAGGCTGGAGTGCAGTGGCGTGATCTCAGCTCACTGCAACCTCCGCCACCTCCCAGGCTCAGGTAATTCTCCGCCTCAGCCTCCCAAGTAGCTGGGATTACGGCTGCCCGCCACCACACCCAGCTAGTTTTTGTACTTTTAGTAGAGATGGGGTTTCACCGTCATGGCCAGGCTCATCTTGAACACCTGACCTCGTGATCCATGCACCAGGGCCTCCCAAAATGCTTGTATTATAGGGGTGAGCCACTGACCCAGCCGTCCCTTTACTCTTATGTTGCCTGTTTTTCTCTCAATGTGTTGCTGACCATGCACATGCCCCTTAATCTTTCAACTTCAGACATATTATTTCTATTAGCCAAACTTCATTATTTTTCTTCTTCCAAAGAGATAGAATTCTCCTGCAATCATTCTCAATTACACTCTCCATCTCCCTATATTTCTTATCTCCTGATTTAATATATCACACTTCTTTCAGCTATAACAAAAAGCAACAATAATGTTGCATTCTCACCTGATCAGTATTATTCATTATTGTGATCATTAGAAGAAGAAGCCCTTATCTTCTCATCCCATATTTCCTATCCTCTTTTTCTTAGTACTGAATCTGATGTCTTCTCAAACCAAATTAACTCCTTACCATGCACACATACTGTTTCCTTGTTGGCCTATTCTGATCTCCTGGGTCTTTCTGCTCTGTTTCCATTCTTAATTCACCACTCCATGTACCAAGATTCTCATTTTGATAAACTCATAATTTATGCCTCCAAAATTGGATTAGTTTGATAATTAAGAACCTCTACAAACAGTAAGTTTTAGTTTTTCATCATCAACCTTATTTAACATTTTCAATTCCACTCTATTAGTATGTAATCCCCTTAATCTCATCCCTGTAGTCCCCTTTGATTTACATAAACCTGGCTTTCCCCCAGATGCCCAAACCAGAACCAATAGAGAGATTTTCAAAAGAAGGAATAACAAGAAATCAAGGCTTTTGAATACCTCATAAGATTAGAACATCCCATCTAAAAATACTTACAGCCAGACTGGCTTTGGCTGTATAGCAGTCCGTGGTATAAAGTGAATCATGATAAAAGTAAGAAACATAACTTCTTGTTGGTATATTATTTTTGTCCAACTCACACTGCAGTGAGGCAGGATTTAAGGTGGCCTGTTTGACAGACAGGATAATGAAACCCACCAGGGCAGACAGAGCACTCAGAATGCTTCCAACCAGGCTGCTATGCACCTGAAAGAGAAATGTTGGGTAAGGATCATTGCTAATGACTCATGAATCTGTTATGCATCTTTGCCATTAAATTGTAAGTTATTCCCTTATCTGTCCCCTCAGGAGGTCTGGGATTGATCATTTATTGCTGTATGCCTCTCCAGTGTCCAGCAAAAATCTCTCAATCTCCAGGGTAATTCTTGGCTGAATGAATGACTATACGAACTGGTTCACCTTAAGCAGGACCTCAGTGGTGTGGTAGAGAATGTTACTCTCCTAAATTCTTTCCCCAGGACAGATAGCAGGGCTTTCATGAGGCTTTACCTGCAACATTACCAAGAGAGCGTGACCCAAAGTGAAGGTGGCAACGTACCAGATGCAGTTTCTCTCTCGCTCAACTCAAAAACCCCTGGCGGAAGCATCAGCCACATGGAAAAGATAGATCATGTATTAGCATGGTGCAAAAGTAATTGTGGTTTTTGCCATAAAACCACAATTATGTTTGCACCAACCTAATAGCTCACTCTCGCCTGCCCATTGCTTCTCTCAAAAGCACACCTCTCAAAGATGAGTGAGGGGGTGGTTCTGAGTCTCAGGCAGGCCCTGGAACATGGGCAGGCATATGATTGGCCACACTGAGTGCAGTATGGGGTGGCTGTGGGCAGAGGTCTAGGTGCAGGCCCAAGGATGGTGTAATGTGTGGGAGGCAGCGGGAAGTACAAGAAAAAGGTCTGAACTGGAGGTCAGAATATTGAAGTCACAGTACTAGACTTGCCTTGGTTTATTCCCTTGGGTAATCAGTTCCTTGATTTTATTTCCCACTCTGGTTCTCATTTATACATTTATGAAGTGAAGGGAATAGATAAACTAACCTCAGAAGTGACTTCTTTTGTACTCCAACTCACACAGAAAAGAGAATTGAGCTAAGAGTACTCTGAGAGCTATAGTTACAGGTAGGTAGGCTCCAGGGCACACCTCACAGCCATACAGTAGAATGTTACTTAATCCCACATGGGCACTTCTTCTTTTAGGAACTCACCAGTTGATACTCTGGGACCCCAATTTCCCAACATAATGACTGAAGTGTACACTCCTGGGCCTCCTAGTAGCCAGTAGTATTCTTGATGCCTAGAGTCTATATTTCTTAGAATAAGCTAGATTTGTCTTGAGATGGCACTCTTCTTCAATCTCAAAAAGGGCTGGTGCAATGTGTGACAAGAGTAGAACTCGCTAAAGCCTCGATGTCTCTGGTAAGTCTGAGCCCACCCCGAGACCACATCCTGCATCCTTGAGCTTCCTGCATGTTCACTGTGGGATTGTTCTCTGGAGTAACAGGCCCATATATTTCCTCCTAAAAGTTTGAAAGCACTACCCTTGTGCCAGGCTACTCAGTATGGTTGCCAATAGCCACATAGACTATCTATATTTAAAGTAAAATTAAGAGAAATTTTTATTCAGTTGCACTATATTTCACATCATCGATAGCCACATGTGACTGCCATATTGTACAGTACAGCTGTAGTGCATTTCCATCATCATAGAAAGTTACATTTCATTTCTATCATCATAGAAAGTTACATTTCATTTCCATCCTCAAAGAAAGTTAAATTAAACAGCACAGATCTAGTTAGTAGTTCCGAGTCTAACTGAGGGTTCCAAATAATAATCTCTAAATACCGATGAGAAAAAGAATTGGCATTTTTCTGGATGCCGTTTCTCACTTCCTTGCTGGCTTTGGGAGATTTTTGTAGCCAGAGCTTCCAAATTGAGTCTCGGTGCAATTGCATGGTATGACATTCTCTCACATAATCTCCAACATCAACCCCTTGAGAGATAATGGATTGAGCGAAGACTTAATGAAACTTTAAAGACAAGAGAAGATTCTCCCTATAATCCAGGCTTTGTCTCCCTGCCACTTCCAACTCTAGTTTTTGCTGGAATAAGGGATAAAGACGGGTAAAGCTTTGTTTTTTGTTGTTGTTGTTTTGTTTTTTTGTTAGCCAATACAAATGACTAAGGACAACTTTTTAGGGTGCAAGAATTTATACTCAAACAAAATAAAAGTATTATACTTCTGGTGAGATAGATGAAAGGATACAGTCAGCCAGCACTACCCAAAACTATTGAAGTCCTCAAGGAAAAGGAAAATCTGAGAAAGTCTAAAGGAACCTGAGGAGACATCAGGCCTAAATGTAATGTAGTATACTGTAGTAGCCTCTGTGTCTACTTTGGATACCTCACATGAACAACACTTTGACTCATTTTTTTTTCAAGGGTTGTAACACCTGGGCTTAAAGAATGGACCCCAACCAATAGACCGCTTTATAACACTGTCAGCTTCCTTGCCACTGAAAACCTGAATTTGAAGGCCAGTTATCACCGAAAGAACCTCATAAACAGGCACAATTTCTCTGTGATACATTCTTCGGCATGGGCAGAGGGAATATTATAATCCCCTGAATGCAGACTTTGATGTAGGGTACAATAATTGGAGAAATGTTCTCTGAACAAGGATACAGAGGATCCAGGCCCAGCTCCTAATTCTAACAACAACCAACTGCTCTGGAACTGAGTTTTCAACTTTTCAAAGTAGAAAGACTAGCCTTAAAGAGTTCTGTCTAAGTTTTATTTTGATCCATTGGGTTGTGGGTTATAGCTCTCTTACTCACCAAAAGCTTGGTTAACCTTTTCTCTGTGGCGATTGATAGAGAGCCAGAGATGATAAACTAAGATAAAAGAGAAAATGGTCAGGTCAGATTCCATGTACAGAGTACCTTCGACGTCACTATCACAATGTTTATAGACAACTCTCATGGGAAAATCCCTGAGAAACCAGTGATCAATGAGGTAAGTTCCATTTAAATACATAGATTTGTCCCTTTGTCCATATAACATTCAGATAACATCAGAAAAAAAAAAGATAGCAGAAATATATCCTAATAAACAAAAAATATCCCACTAAACAAAAAAAGACCTTAAAAGCCAGGAAATAATTTTTGTTTTTTTAATAAAATGAGACAGTTTTGGTGTAAGATGTTCTCTAGGGAAGGACATAAAAGCAATGGTTAAAAAAAAAAGTAGTAATTTTACAGAGGAGAAATCTGGAAAATACTACCCCAACCACATAATCAAGGTTAATTGTGTCAGTGACATTATGTTGGTAGCATGACCCTTGATACGACTTGATGAAAATGGTGCTTTACCTCATCATCACCACCCAAAAATTCATCACCATACTCTAAACATCAAAAAAAAAAATCAGACAAACCCAAATTTAGGAACATTCTATAAAAATCTCAGCCAGCGCTACCCAAAACTATCAAAGTTCTCAAGGAAAAGGAAAATCTTAGACAGCCTAGAGGACCCTGAGGAGACATCATGACAAAATGTAATGTAGTGTAATGTAGTAGCTTGGCATGGATCTTGGAACAGAAAAAGGTCATTTGGGGAAAACCAATGAAATCCAAATCCAAGTGTAACTTTAGTTAATAAGACAAGAAAAATGGACAAGATACACAAAAAGGTGGACTTCTTGGTGCATCAAATACACAAATGTAAGAAAAACAAATAGCTACTGAATTGCAGGAAGTTGAAGGAAAAAACATCTATGAAAGGGAAACTTACCTATGAGAAAGCCCCCATCTTAGAGAAAGCAGTTCTCTGAGGAAAGGACTACTAAGTCCTTTTGAAACTCCAGACTTGCAGCTATTTCAGAGGAATTTCCTGTCAATCACTGGGCATAGATATCTGCTCAGCCTTACCTGGGAATCAGTCAATGCAGTAAAAGTATTTTCAAAATGCTCAGAGGTGTAAGTTCTCCTTCCTCCATGATCCCCACAAGCATGGGGGGGATAACAGTGTGGTTTCTCTGTGAGTGTGTGATGTCTTCCATTTATGCTCTTTTTTTTTTTTGTATAAAATGTTCCTTCCCAACTTTATCCTAATTCATGGATTTTTTTTTCGCCTAAACCTGGAGAGAAGTCACTAGCTTCATCATAGCTCAAGATGATAATGTGAAGAATAAGATGATCTTCAAAAGAAATGTTTATTTGAGTCTGATAAGAAATTGATCTAAAATCAAGCAACCCCTGTCATCCTACCCGACAGGAGAACAAGATTCACCGTTGACTCCTTGCTCCTGGCAGATCAAACATAGCAAGCTGGCAGGTGGGAAGTCTAAGCTATTGGCATCTTCCTCCCCTCTTTGCCCCATCCTGCCCTCCTCAGAAACTCTACTCACAAAAAAGGGTCCTATGAATGGGTAAGCAGAGTTCAACAGTGTAGAAGTCACTTGGGTAAAATTTGGAGAGAAGGAAGCAGATGCCAAAATGATCCCCAAGCTCAATACCATCATGCCACACAAGATCTGGATAGTCTGTGGGAAGAGAAAGTGAGATTGAGGATGAAAACCAGCATTTGTAAAGACAGGGCCTTTTTGCCGCTCCCATGGCACTAATGCATTATCGCCTTCTGCAAGATCCTAATGAGGATACAAACCCTGTGGAAACTCTGGAGTGAGAAATATGAAAAGACATCCTGGAGGGTGTGCAGCTCTGCCACAGAAGCCACAGTCTCAGGTGTCTGGCAGGTGCTCAGGAAGGCTTCTGCATTTCTGCCTCTCAGGCCCTGGTCTGCTCATGAGACTTGCTTCCAGCTCACAGCAAGTGCTGAGATTTACTTTCCCAGCTCTCAGGACCTCTAAGTCCATGACTAGTTAACTCTCTTTCTATCTCTCTGAAAACAGGGGACATCTGAAAGCCCCCACATTCTCTGCAGTATTGGCAGTGCAGAAGGCCCTCCCCTCATCTCCCAGACTCCACTGGACATGGAGTTTGCCCCTTTGGTCACTTCCTCGGAAACTGCAGTTCACAACCCTATAGCTGAAGCTCTGGAAGCTCTTTTATTTTTAGCTTTTATTTTAAGTTCAAGGGTACAACTGCATGTCTGTTACATAGATAAACTTGTGTCATGGGGGTTTGCTGTACAGATTATTTCATCACCCAGGTATTAAGCCTAGTATCCATTAGTTATTTTTCCTGATCCTCTCTCTCCTCCCACCCTCCACCCTCTGAAAGGCCTCAGTGTGCATTGTTCTGTTCTACGTGTCCATGTGTTCTCATCATTTAGAGGCCATCCCCCTTAGCAGACTAACACAGGGACAGAAACCAAATACTGCATGTTCTCATGTATAACTGAAGCTCTGTCTTAGGAGGTAGTTTTCCTTCCTGACATCCACCTCAGAGATTCACAGCTCTATTATCATTTACCAAAAAGTTTTCTAGACCTTATGTCACATGAGCCTCATAGAAACCCATGTGATTGTACATGAGGCAAGGAAACCAGTCCCACCAGGTCCTGAAATCCAGTCAAACAGAGTGCCTCACCTCAGATCACATAAGTGCAGAGGCAATTCTAGAAACCAAAACTCTGTGTTTCCCTCCCAATCCAAGATAGATCCCTTCTTTCTCTCCTCCCTTCATGCAATACAGCTTCTTTAATAAATTCTGGGTGAGAGGAGAAACAGACAAACAAAAGGTGAATATCATTTCCATTCTCAAAAACGTTAGGAGAAAAGAGGAAAAGGAGTTGTATATTTCCTCTAATTTGCAGTGAGGGAAAAATTATTTGCAAAAAGTCAGTTTGGATTATTAAGCATGCAGTTGTGGAATATATACACATACACACAATATGTCATTATTTACCACCATTACTTTTGTAAAAGAAAATATAGAAAAGCACTGTATTGTAAAAATACAAAGACAACAATAGAAAATCAATTCCTCATATTCAGAATAAGGGAAAATATATTTTTAAGACAACCTCTTGTGGAAAAGTTCTGGGACAGTTTTCTCCAAGTGGCTTCTACCCTAAAGTCCCTCTAGCAAAATTTTAGGGTCTCCACACTCACGACAGATGTCCAGTCCCAAGACATATATCATCTCTTGGCACTTCCCCCAACCCCTCTCCAACACGTTCTGAATTAGATTTACCCCAATAACTTTGATTTCTGCGTGTAGATGTTTCTTCAGGCTATCCTGCCCCTGGTTGGTGGGTTCGGGTTTCTCTGCTTGGGAGAAGTTGATGACATTTGATGGGAGCACTATGATGGTCTCATTGGGAACAGGTTGTGATGTCATGATGGTGTTGCCAACTATGTAAGAAAAAATAGATTTAGCTCTTAAAAAGTACAGAGCTCCCAGGTTCTGACTCCAAAAACAGTAACTCAGTCTTTGCCAATTAGTCTAGGCTTGGCCTGTCCATTAGAGAAAGAAACTGATAGTATGGAACAGTGAAAACCACACAATCTTGGTTTCATGAGGATTTTTCCATAATGTTTGACACAGTCCATTATAGATAATAAACACATCACAGGGTGGCAGCAACATGAATCTTGAGAGGTCTCAATGTCCAGAGGCAAATGGTCACACAAAATTTGCAATATGCAACAACCTCCCTTTCCTCTAGTCCTACTGACAACAACTGTATTGCCATATATTTGATGAATTTTCAGACTAATAAATGAACTCTGCTTACTTATTTCTTGTTTAATAATACTATTTATTAGCACTCAGATATGTTTATCATATTTTACCAGACACATTCTTAATTTTTACCCTGCAGTGCTTTTAATCCTTACAACAGCTCTGCATGTTAGTAAGTTAGTAAAAACATGTAATAAATAAGAAAATGCAAAATAAAGTTTAAGTTATGAATGCAAATAATATACCTATTGCATATATGTGTGGCCCAGAGTTAATGCTGAAGAAATATTTGCAGTTACCCTTATTGTTCACCCTGGTTCACACAGCCGGGAAGCTGTAAAACCAGTCTTGGATCTCAGCTTTCCTGGAGTCTGAAGCCTTTGCATAAATCTCTAGATCATTCTACCTCTTCCTAATTTCCCACCTGGCATTGCCAGCCTGTGTCTGAGTTTACTCAGGCTGGAGAAACAGCTGCATGCAGTGGTATGAGAACAAGTCTTGGACTCATAACACATAGGCTCGCGTCGTTGGTCCTCCCCACTTTTTAGCATAAAGACCAAGTAGGTTGTGGTATTTGTTGCTAAGCTCAGCTTGGATCCCTTTTCACGGCACCATTCTCAAAGCACAGACCGCCCAGTTTACAAATGGTCTAAACACATTTGAAGAGACAAGAGCTCTGCTCCCATTAATTACACAACCTTAGGTAAGTGACTCACTGAGTTTATGCAATTAGAATACAGCGGACACAGAGTTAAAAACAGATACTCCTTCCATTTGCCCACTCTATTTCCAAAAGGCCCTAGTGTCTCTTAACTGCTGTCAAGGAGTTTCAAGTTAAATTACTCCTCTAATGAGGTCACGGCAAGGGAATAGTGAGATGAGAAAAGTCTTCCAGCATTACCTACCTGTGCCCGTTGGTTCCAGCTGAGTCCTCAGAAGCTCCAAAGAGGTTTTAACTCTGGTTTCTCAGTCCCATCAACGGTTTCTACTTACCTTCATCTTCTGAAAGTCATCAGCCCTTCCTTATTCCAGTGTTTACAGCTATACAGGATGTGATACTCACAGATTGTAGATTTGTGAAATGTTCCTGCACTTCCTTTTCTGTAAACTTCTAGCAACTTCAGTAAAACCATGAAAAGAGCCAACTAATATTTGTGAGAGTTCAGGAGTCATGGAGCCTTATGTGTGAATTGCCACTTCGAGACATACAAGTTTCCTGTTGTTAGGCAAGTCTGTTCTTGAAGCTTCAGTTTTCTAATCTGTTAAATAGAGGAGCAATACCAACACTGGAGAATTGTCATAAAGATGAGCAAAAATATTTATAAAAAGCCTATGCTGCTTTGAAGCTTTCAATAACATGTAACTAATAACAGTAATAGTGCTAGTAATCATAATATAGAGAAAGAACAATATTCCACTGTCTATAACTAACCATAATAATAATAATAGCAATAATGACTACACTGCTTTAAAGGAACATTCATTAATATATAGCTAATAGTAATATAGAACATAAAAAAACTTTTAAAAAATTGTTTTTTATATATATAGTTTGTTTGTTTGTTTTGTTTTATCTTGCTTTTCTAATTCCCCAAGTCTTGGCAGGCTGAAAGCAACCTTTCAATACTGATTGCCCAACTGCTGCCTACCCTCAAGTCATCTTCCTCCTCTGGCTGCTCTTTTTCTCTAACAACAGATCTTTGCCCTCCAGAAAGGTTGGGCCCCTCCAGGGAAGCATTGAAATATTGAAACAGAGAAGGAACAAATGGGAAAGATTCAGCAGGACCTAAATGAATTCAGTAAACTCATATGCAGGCTGGTTTTGTGAGGACAGAGGCACTGTGCCCCTTCAAAACCTTGGGTGGCATTCTTTGGAAGCTGACTTCAATGTATCAGGCAAGGAAACCAGAGCCAGTCAGGGCAATGGCAAAGCCCCACCCTGCAAGCTTCCTTCCTCCTTTCCTTGGGGGAGCTTCCAGAATGAACCCAGAAACACAACCTGAACCATCACCGTCACCACAGAGGGCCATGGATTCTGCACTTAATTCCACACATTAACTCTCCTGTTGAAGAAAGGAGTTAAGAAGCACCATTTAGAAGGCTGGATTAGTTCTCAGCGTCTGAATGACACAGACATTATGAAATGTAATTGGCTTGTCTTAAGTTCTAACAATAAATCTGAGAGGAGGAATGGACTCACACAGAAAGCCTGGGGAGAGGGGCAGAATCACCTCCAACCTTGCTCACCCAAGCTCCTGGCGCCCCTTCCTCTTTCGCAGAGTGCCGTCTGTGTTTCCAGTGGGTGCCCTGCATCTTTGTCACCCTCACAGCATCTGTGAAACAGTGGAATGCAGCTCTCCTCCTGAGCTTTGATTAAAAAGGAGCCCAGTCTCTTTGGTCTCTTCAGGAGCAATCACACCCCCTTTCCCTTCAGGGGAATGTGCTAATAAACCAGTTAAAGTTGCCTACCTAAGCAAAGGCTCCCTCTCCAGTCAGTTTTCCTCTCTGTGCTATTTAATTTAAAATCATTTCTGAGTTTTAAGGATTATGTGAGACAACACGTGTAAGGTTCCTAGCACAGAACCCTTCGGAATGATGGCCTAAAAGCGGTCTGTTGACTGTCTTCCTCACCCCCCAATCCTCCCCCCTCTTTTTTTTTCCATTTTGGCTTTAGTAAGCTTAAAACAATTCTCCTTTCTCTTGTCTTTCAGCTTACACTCATTCAGCCTTTTACATTCCCAGTTTTTTCCAGAGTCTGAATTCTACCAACCTAACTACAAGGGAGAAGACTGGTATATCAATAACACGTTCTGATTAATGATCTGGGACAGGTTTCTCAAAAAAGCTACTAATGCCACTTTGGACTGGGTAATTCTTTACAGTAGGTGGCTATCCTGTGCACTGTAGGATGCTTAGCAGACTCCCTGGCCTATGCCAGCACAATCCCACCCTATGTGTAACAACCAGAAACAGTATCTGATATTGTCAAATGTCTCCTGATGGAGGGAGAACAAAATCCCCTCACATTCATGTTGAGAGCTACTGACCTAGGAGCAAAAGGGTTTTTGTGTGTTCTGTGTAAAGGCAGGTGTGCTAGAAACAGAACAATATTTTCTTTAAATCAATTTCTCAACTTTTATTTTTAAAATTTTAAATTGTGGTACAAAACACATATAATTCATTATTTTAACCACTTTTTAGTGTACAGACCACTAGTATTAATTTTGTTCACATTGTTGTGTAACAGACCTCTAGAACTTTTTCATCTTGCAGAACTGAAACTCTATACCCATTGAACAACCACCCCTTTCCTTCCTATTCCTAGCCCCTAGTAACCACCATCCTACTTTCTGTTCCATGTTTGCTCTGTCTCTAAGGGAGGAGACCACCCCTCATATTGTCTTATGCACAGTTTCTGCCCCCAAAGAAAGAAGAAGTAAAAACTAAAAGGCAGAAATGAAATCTACAGGCAGACAGCCCTGTGCTGCACCTTGGGCCTCGTTAAAGATTGACCCCTGACCTAACCGGTTATGTTATCTATAGATTCCAGACATTGTATGGAAAAGCACTGTGAAAATCCCTTTCCTGTTCTGTTCTGTTCTGATTACTGGTGCATGCAGCCCCCAGTCACATACCCCCTGCTTGCTCAATTGATCAAGACCCTCTCATGGGGACCCCCTTAGAGTTGTAGGCCCTTAAAAGGGACAGGAATTGCTCACTTGGGGAGCTTGGTTTTTAGAGATGTGAGTCTTGCCAAAGCTCCTGGCCGAATAAAGCCCTTCCTTCTTTAACTCGGTGTCTGAGGGGTTTTGTCTGTGGCTTGTCCTGCTACATTTCTTGGTTCCCTGACCAGGAAACAAGGTGATTAATGGATGGTCGAGACAGCTCCTTAGGTGGCTTAGGCCTGCCCTGTGGAGCATACCTGAGGGGGACTCCAGCCAGCTTGAGTGAAGCAGATCCTGAGAGCACTCCCAGGTAGGCAATTGCCCCAGTGGAATGCCTCATCAGAGCAGTGCACAGCAGGCCCCTGTGGAGGATCAATGCAGTGGCTGAACACCATGAAGGAACTGGCACTTGGAGTCCGGACATCTAAAACTTGGTAAGACTGGTCTTTGGAACTTGCCCACTCCATTTAAGTGGAAGCATGGCCTGATCACCCATGGTGTGCCTGTACCAGCACTTTGGTTTTTGATTTTGACTTGACTTGGATTGCTTGATACTTTGGTTTTGGTTTTGACCCGGCTTGGATTTCCTGACACTCTGATTTTGGTTTTGATTCTGGTTTGGTGTAAACTGCAAAAGTGTGTGTGTGCCCTTTTTACCCATTTTTGTTTTGCAGTGTGAGCATGGTGTTTTGTCTTCAGGAAGCATGGGCCAGGCACAAAGTAAGACCACTAGGAGCTATGTTGAAAAATTTCAAGAAAGGATTTAAGGGAGATTACAGTGTTACTATGACACCAGGAAAAACTAGAACTTTGTGTGAAATAGACTGGCCAGTATTGGAGGTGGGTTGGCCATCAGAAGGAAGCCTGGACAGGTCCCTTGTTTCAAAGGTGTGGCACAAGGTAACTTGTAAGCCAGGGCACCCAGACCAGTTCCCGTATATAGACACTTGGGTACAGCTGGTTTTAGACCCCACCCACTCACAGTGGTTGAGAGAACAGCAGCATAAGCAGCTGGCAGAGGCAAGGAAAGACCAGCAGAGAGAGAGAGAGGAAGAGACAGAGAGACAAAGAGGGAGTCAAGGAGAGAGAGAGAGAAAGAAAGAGGCAGAGAGAGAGAGAGAGAAAGATACAGAGGCAAAAGGAAAGTCAAAGAGAAAGACACAGAAAGTCAAAGACAGAAAGAAAGAGATATACAAGTAGTTAAGAAAAAAACAGTGTACCCTATTCCTTTAAAAGACAGGGTAAATTTAAAACCTATAATTGATAATTGAAGGTCTTCTCTGTGACCCTACAACACTCCAATACCACCTTGCTGTAAGTGTAAACAAGTGCGTAGCCCGAAAGCACTGAGGCCACTGACAACCTGTAGACTTCCTATCAAAAATCTTTAACCTAGTAATCTGCGGATGGCACAAATGCATTCACTCTGTAGCGGCAACTACTTTGCTAACAGAAGAAAGTAGAAAAATAACTTTTAGAGGAAACCTCATTGTGAGCACACCTCACCAGTTCAGAAGTATCCTAAGGGAAAAAAAAAAAGATGATTTAACATTAACCACTAAAAATTCCCTTAACCCAGCAGGTTTCCTAACAGGGGATCTAAATCTTAATTGCCATACAAAGGTCTGACCAGACCTAGGAGGAACTCCCTTCAGGACTGGATGATAGACGGTTCCTCCCAGGTAATGGAAGGAAAAGAAAAAGCCGTCTATACCAATTCTAAGTTAATTTGGACTAAACAAAGTCTTACTAATAGCAAAGGATAATTGAAATCCCAAACGTACAAGGTTTTCAACAAAAGTAAAATTTGCTAAAAGTTAACAGTATAACATGTATAATAGTAACTTCTAATCTTGTAGCCTTAGACAGTCTAATCCACAGACATAAAGGAAGTTTGCTTTGGAAAAGAATGGTTATCCCCCCAAAAAAAGGGGGAAAAAAGCGGGGGCAGAATTTATGTAAAAAGAATCTTATATAGTAAATTCTTGTCCTGAAATAAATTAACTGGTTGTTTAAAGAAAGAAATGTTTGTAATAAGTCAGAAAGTTGAGGCATGTTGAAGAATTGTCTACAAAAGTCATGAAAGAAAAAGAGTTATAAAAAAAGAATTGATGCAAGAAATGTTGTATAATTTAAAAGTAACTAGGCCTCCTGAATGTAAAACTACTGAGAAAACAGTTTATGTGCAAGGTGTATAAGAAAAGTAAAATACACCTCTGGTAAAAGCATTATAAGGAGGCATAAGAATGTGGATTTTTACCTACATTAAAAGATTTTTAAAAATTGTTTTGAAGGTTTAAGCAAGTTTTAAAACGTCAATTGTAAAGGAAATTCTGTGTGTAAACATATTGGCTAAAGTTAAAGGGGTATCATCCAGTTTTTCTGTGAACTGAACATTAAAATAAAAACACAATGGGTTTCTCTTAAAGCATTAACCTGCTCTTTAACAAAGATTATAAAAGGTTAAAAAGAGTCTATAAAAATCTTACCTTATGATCTAACATTAAAAATTAAATAAATATGCCTACTAAGTTTTATTAAAACTAAGTTTAACATTAATAACACACTAATATAAGGGTGACATTTAGCTTATCTGGTATAAAAATCATACAGGAAGCGTCAAATATAAAAAGCTGTTTGGCTTCTTTGGTCTAAAAACTAATAAAAAATAGGTGCTAAAGGAAATTTCTCAGTAGAAAGGCACCAAGGACTATAAAGTCCACTGCTGACATCCCCACATTTAAAACAAAAGGTCAATTTCTTAAAAATTATATACTTGGTTTATCTCCCACTTTCCTTTCCCTCAAAACTAAAAGTCTTTTAACACATGTGCCACCCCTACAATTTCTGGTAAGCCAGCACCAGTCTGAAGATCACATTCTCATCAAAAAGTGAAAAAAAAAGAGGAAATTCGAGCCAGCCTAGGAAGGACCCTACCCTGTGCTGCTAACCACCAAGACTGCTGTTCATACAGTGGAAAAAGGATGGACTCATCACACCAGTCAAGAAAGCTCCACCCGCTCCAGAGTCGTGGGCCATAGTCCCAGGGGAAAACCCTACCAAACTAAAGCTGAGAAAAATTTAACTCTTTTATCTATTCTATTACTCTTTCTTCTTTCCTCACTCTATTGCTGACCATCTAGTTATTAACATAACCAAGTCAATTTTGCCTCAAACTATTGCATTTAATGCTTGCCTTATTATACCCTGTGGGGACTTGCCAAGTCAAAGACAGCTCTCTACTTCAGAAAAGTACCTCTGTCCCTCCTGACTCTCCTCAGACTGGGCATTAGTAAATTAGGACTATTTGATTGGGGGAAACTTTGGTAAAGACTCCAGTGTCAACCAGGAGTCTTGCCCCCCAATGTAGAACTTTTATGCCATAGTTGGTCCAACGTTCTGTTGACCACTAAAGAGCAAGGATGGACTGACCCAACTGGTTTTTGTAATTTCCTAAAATCATACATTCATTTTACTAGAGGATCATAGAAGTTAAAGACTTAAAACAAACTTTGGCAGTTAAGACAAGATACCAAGATGCAAATGCCTGGTTAAAATGGATCAAATATTCCATTTGCACGTTAAACAAAAGCAATTGTTATGCTTGTGCACGTGGCAGGCCAGAGGCCCAGACAGTCCCCTTTCCACTAAGGTGGTCCTCCAGTGGACCGTGGGCTGCATGGTATCTCTTTTCCAGGATTCTACAGCCTGGAGTAATAAGTCATGCCAAGCTCTCTCTGCTATATCCCAAAGTCTGGCACCCTGAAGTTCAGCCCCCGAGGGCCATCCAGCTGCCATCTCCCAACACTAAGTTCATTTCGTGTCTCTCACAATAGGAAGGAAACTTAGCGTTCCTTGGAAACCTGAAGGGATGTAGTGAACTTAAGAATTTTCAAGAGCTTATCAATCAGTCAGCCCTTATTCATCCCAGAGCAGATGTGTGGTGGTATTGTGGTGGACCTTTACTGGGCACTCTGCTGAATAACTGGAGTGGCACTTGTACTTCAGTCCAATTGGCTATCCCTTTCACCCTGGCATTTCATCAGCCAGAGGGAGGAAAAATAAGACATTGTAAAGCGAGAGAAGCCCCTTATGGGTCTTTTGACTCTCACGTCTATTTAGATGCAATTGGATTCCCATGGGGAATACCAGATCACTTTAAAGCTTGAAATCAAATAGCTGCAAGATTAAAGTCAACATTTTAGTAGATAACTGTAAATAAATATGTAGATTAGATGAACTACATCTATTACAACCAACAGCAATGAACTTTTCATGAGTTAAAAGAAAAACTCATGTTGGCCTCAGCCCTGGGGCTACCTGACCTGACAAAACCCTTTACACTCTATGTGTCAGAAAGAGAAAAAATGGCAGTTGGAGTTTTAGCCCAGACTGTCGGGCCCTGGCCAAGGACAGTGGCCTATCTCTCAAAACAACTAGACAAAGTTTCCAAAGGCTGGCCCCCATGTCTAAGGGCCCTGGCAGTGACAGCCCTGTTAGCACAAGAAGCAGATAAACTAACGCTTAGGCAAAACCTGAATATAAAGGCCTTCCATGCTGTGGTAACTTTGATGAATACCAAAGGACATCATTGGCTAACAAATGCTAGATTAACCAAGTATCAAAGCTTGCTATGTGAAAATCCCCCATAACCATTGAAGTTTGCAACACCCTAAACCCTGCCACCTTGTTCCCGGTATCAGAGAGCTCAGCTGAACATAAATATGTAGAGGTATTGGACTAGTTTATTCTAGCAGGCCCAACCTCCAAGACCATCCTTGAACATCAGTAGACTGTGAGCTGTATGTGGACAGTAGCAGTTTCACCAACCCCTGCAAAGTGACTCTGAAGAGGACAACAAGCCCTGCTCCAGTCACATCCAGAAGCTGACTGGTCCACACATGGCCAAAGCATAAGAAAACTCATCATGGGACTCATTTTCCTTAAAATTTGAACTTGTACAGTAAGGACTTCAACTGACCTTCCTCAGACTGAGGACTGTTCCCAGTGTATACACCAAGTCACTGAGGTAGGACAAAAAGTTGCTATGGTCCTATTATTTTATGGTTATTATAAGTGTACTGGAACTCTGAAAATAACTTGTTTGTATAATGTTATTCTATACAAGGTATGTAACCCAGGAAATGACCTGTGTTATGTGTGTTATGACCCATCTGAGCTTCCCATGACCACAGTTTTTGAAATAAGATTAAGGACTGAGGACTCGTGGGGGCTCATAAATGACATGATTAAAGTGTTAGCCAAAACAGAAGAAAAAGGGGTGCCCAAAAAAGTCACCTTGAAATTTGATGCCTGTGCTGTCATTAATAGTAATAAGTTAGAAATAGGATATGGTTCTCTTAATTAAAAAAGAGGCTATATGACAAAAAATAAGTACATTTGTCATGAATTAGGACTGTGTGAAAATGAATGTGGATACTGGTCTTGTGTCATTTAGGCTACTTGGATAAAAAATGAAAAAAAAAATCCTGTCCACCTTCAGAAAAGGAAAAGTGGCCCTTCCTATACCAGGGGTCCGTGTAACCCCTTAGAACTGGTAATAACCAACCCCCTTGATCCTCCCTGGAAAAAAGGGGAGCATGTAACCCTAGAAATCGATGGGGCTGGACTGGATCCTTGAGTAAATATCATAGTTTGAGAAGAAGTTTATAAACCCTCTCCTGAGCCAGTATTTCAAACTTCTATGATGAACTGAATGTGCCAGTGCCAGAAATTCCAGGAAAAACAAGAAATTTGTTTTTGCAATTAGCCAAGCATGTAGCCCAGTCTCTCAATGTCACTTCATGTTATTTATGCGGAGGAACTATACTGGGAGATCAATGGCCATGGGAAGCCTGAGAATTAGTACCTACAGACCCAGTTCCTGATAAATTCCTGGCTCAAGAGAATCACCCTGATAACTTCTGGGTCTTGAAAGCCTCAATCATTAGACAATACTGTATAGCAAGAGTGGGGAAGGACTTCACCCTTCCTGTGGGAAGACCCAGCTGCCTTGGGCAAAAACTGTATAATAGTACTACAAAAACAGCCACCGTGGCGTTCAAACCACACTAAGAAAAATCCATTTAGTAAATTCCCAAAGTTGTAAACCATGTGAACCCACCCAGAGTACCACCAGGACTGGACAGCCCCCACTGGATTATACTGGATATGTGGGCATAGAACTTATGCCAAATTACCTGACCAGTGGGAAAGTAGTTGTGTTATTGGCACTATTAAATCATCTTTCTTCCTACTGCCCATAAAGACAGGTGAACTCCTGGGCTTCCCTGTCTATGCTTCCCATGAAAAGAGAAACATAGCCATAAGAAATTGGAAAGATAATAAATGGTCCCCTGAAAGAATCATACAATATTATTGGCCTGCTACTTGGGCAAAAGACAGCTCATGGGGATACTGGACCCCCATTTACATGCTCAACCAAAGCATATGGTTACAAGCTGTCTTAGAAATAATCACTAATAAGACCAGCAGAGCCTTGACTATTCTGGCCCAGCAAGAAACTCAGATGAGAAATGCTATCTATCAAAATAGATTGGCTCCCAACTACTTGCTGGCAGCTGAAGGAGGGGTCTGTAGGACATTTAACCTTACTAATTGCTATCTACACATAGATGACCAAGGGCAAGTAGTTGAAGACATAGTTAGAAATATGACAAAACTGGCACATGTGCCCGTGCAAGTGTGGCATGGATATGATCCTGGGGCCATGTTTGGAAAATGGTTCCCAGTGCTAGGAGGATTTAAAACTCTTATAATAGGAGTAATAATAGTAATAGAAACCTGCTTACTGCTCTCTTGTTTGCTACCTGTACTTCTTCAAATGATAAAAAGCTTCATCGCTACCTTAGTTCACCAAAATGCTTCAGCACAAATGTACTATATGAATCACTATTGATCTGTCTTGCAAGAAGACATGGGTAGTGAAAATGAAAGTGAGAACTCCCACTAATGAGTGAGATTCTCAAAGCGGGGGACTAAAGGAGGAGACCACCCCTCATATTGTCTTATGCCCATTTCTGCCTCCAAAGAAAGAAGAAGTAAAAACTAAAAGGCGGAAATGAAATCCACAGGCAGACAGCCCAGCACCACACCCTGGGCCTGGTTAAAGATCGACCCCTGAGCTAACTGGTTATGTTATCTATGGATCCCAGACATTGTATGGAAAAGCACTGTGAATATCCCTGTCCTGTTCCATTCTGATTACTGGTGCATGCAGCCCCCAGTCACATAACCCCTGCTTGCTCAATTGATCACGACCCTCTCACATGGACCCACTTAAAGTTGTAAGCCCTTAAAAGGGACAGGAATTGCTCACTCTGGGAACTTGGTTTTTGGAGACGTGAGTCTTGCTGAAGCTCCCGGCCAAATAAAGCCCTTCCTTCTTTAACTTGGTGTCTGAGGGGTTCTGTCTACAGCTTGTCCTGCTATGTGTCTACTTTGGATACCTCATATGAGAGGAATCACAGAGTATTTGTCTTTTTCTGATGGCTTCTTTTTTTTTTTTGTGATGGCTTCTTTTACTTAGCATGAGATCTCCAAGTCTCATTCTTGTTGTAGCATATGATAGGATTTCCTTCTTCTGTAAGGTTGATTAATGTTTCATTGTATGTATATACCACATTTTCTTTATTCATCCATTAATGTACATTTGGGTTGCTTCCACCTCTTGGCTATTATTAATAATGCTGCAATAAATATGTGTACAAATATCTTTACAAGATCATGTAACTCATAGATACTTATTTCTTTAAAGTTAGTTTTTGGAGATTTATTGTATTCCTTTAGTTGGGCCATGTTTTCTTGCTTCTCTGTATGCCTTGTGATCTTTTATTGAGATTTGTGCATTTGAAAACAACACCAACCTTTTCCAGTCATTACAAACTGACTTTATGTAGTGGAAGACCTTTACGGGTTAGCATAGCTAGAGATTCTGGGGGCCCTTCAAACTTCTTTGGGACATGTATGTGTAATTTCCTAGTAAAAGAGTTTTGCCTGCTTCTTCTTCTTTCTCCCCCTGGTGTCTGCCTGCAGTACTACAATCTCCCTAGTGGTGAAATAGTGTGCCTGCCTTTGTTCTCCGAGGCTCACAACATGCTATTCAACTCTGCACTCTGAGTCAGGCAAGACAGAAACCAGTACCTTGGGTAACCCCCACAAAACCCAGAATGCTGGACTCATGGTCTAGTCCTCTTGCCTCTTTAAAGGAGAATCTGGTGCAGTGGGATAATTAAGTAATCAGAGAGACAGAGAGGTTGGGGAGGAATTATTTAATTTTTTAGGTGCACCAAGCCAGTCAGATTAACATCCAAAGGAATGAGCCCTGAACAAAGAATGTGGTTACCTTTTAAGCATTTTGTGGGGTGGGGGGAGATCTGTGCAGGAGGAAGCATATTACAGAAGTGAGAAACAAAGACAGTTATTTAATTAAGACATGCATTACATCATTTCTTCCTTTTCAAGAAACAACATGTTTTATGACTTGAGATTATCTGTCTAGTGATCTTGCAGCTGCACAGCTAGAAAAACAATGCTTCACCATGCCTGGGAAAGACAGAGATAAGGCTCACTAGCCTCAGAAAGAAAAATAGGCAGTTAATTTTAAAGGACTCCAGCCCTTTCTCTTCCTTAAGGGAAATTGGGGGTTTTTTTTTACATAAAACTGAGTTTTTGCTTACACAGTTTTTAATTTCTTTTAATTCCTGTTCCACTGGAACTTTAATGTTTTCTGTAGATCAAGTCGCATTGTGCCAGGGTGAAAGAGTGGCTGGAATGAGTAAAATGCGACAACAATTTCTCCTCATTTTGATGCATCTTTTCCTGGCTTTGCATTCACCTAAGGTGCTGCAACCTCTTAACTAGTTTCTAGAGTTCTCACAAAGGCATTGTAGTTCATACATTGTTGTCAAGTCAGTCTCTCCATGGGGAAATGAGGGCCTGAGGCTTCCTATTCCACCGTCTTGCTGATGACACTCAAGTCAATTTCCTATTGCTAGAGCCTATTGTGCTGAGAGGTCATCTAGTTATCCCAAGTTTCTGTGTCAGAGCTCAAAAACAGATGCTTATGTTTGACAACAAGGGGTTGGAGAGAAATTTTGGAGTTCCTCTAAGTATACGTACAACTCCCTGTGCACATTATCCATAAAATATCTCTTATTCCTGCAGGTCCATGAGCAAGTCTGTCTCTCTGGCCTTTCTAGTTCCAAGGATCTCTCCTTAGAGAATAAGGAGGCCTTAACTCTTTGGACCCAAAACAATTATTTGTGCTTTTGTTTCCTAGCTAGCCCTGTTTCCCAGGTCCCATCTGCATCTCAGTTTTCGTTACCCACTTTCCAACTCCTCTCCTTCAGGACCAGAAAATCTTCTATTCCCTAAGGACATCTGTGCTTCTCTTAATTATCATGTTATCCCTTCCATTCCATGATACCTCTCGTACCCCATACACTAGGAACTCTTCTCTTTCTATACATCTTTCTGAAGCACATATAAAATCTCTAGTGAGATATTATTCTTTGGATTGCTGGAAAACAAAAGCTAGAAGCTAGTAAGCAGCATCTCCTTTTCCTTTCTCCATTAGTATATTCCTCTATCTCCTTCACTTATCTCTCCCTTTGCATATATTATGTTTTTAAAAACATACCTTTATATGTAATATACAAATATTTATATATACAATTATTTATATATTTAAATGTATTTAAATATACAATTATTTATATAATTAAATGTATTTTCAAATAACATATTTGTGTGTAATACACAAATTATTTATGTATTTAAATATATTTTCAAGTAACTTAAAAATGCATATATATATTCCATGTGTGCCTGTGTGTGTGTGTGTGTGTGTGTGTGTGTGTGTGTGTGTGTGTATATATATATATATATATATATATATATATATATATGCATGTATGTTATTTAGACAATTTGGTGACCCTGTTAGGGGCACAGTGTCTGTGGCTTCAGAGCTGGAGGTAAGGTGGAAATATTTTCATCTTTTTCCAAATATGAGGGAATACTAAGTAGAAAAAAATTAAGATAAAAAATAAATTACTGGAAGTAATCAGCAAGGGTTGAAGCACTTTGCTGCTGGCATAAGGGAAAAAGAATCAACATAGATGACAGCTAGCTAATACAGCACTATGTGATTCCTGAGCCCCATCCAGACGGCGACTTTCCTCCTCTTGATGTCCAGCCCCTCCTGGCCAAGCTGAAAGCATCCATTTAAGAGATGAGAGCAAGTTACCCACTGTGTCTGGTGAAACTGTACCTAGAGTCTGAGAAGGATTAAAACAAGCTATCTTGACCTTTTACTGGGGGAAAATACCACGCTTTGCTGAAATTGACGATGAAAAGATTCAGAAGGGAAACCACAAGGAACTTTCTGAACTGCTTCTTCTGCTAGAAAGAGTGTACTTATTGAAGATGAATTGTTTTCTTAATCTAGTATTATCAGCCTGACAGAGTTATTCACAAGTAGTTAAGTTCCTGGGAATCACATGAGCAGCAGCAATCCCAAGAAACCTGAGTCAGTAAAAAAATAAATTGCTGATCTTGAAGAGATTCAAAGAGGAAGGCAAAAGCATTGTCAGCTTTGTTCAAACTGTATCTCAAATTTAGTTGTTTTTTGTTTTTCTATCCACCAGGCAATCAAAAGGATGTTGCTTTATACATCTTTCCTGTGTTTTTCATACAGTAAACTCAAAATTTAAACCAAGGGACATATTTTAATTAATTAAAAGATTTAAATATTTTCCCTGGAATGTGTACAACTTTGTCTTATTATATTTCTTGTATTTTTTGTTGTGTGAAGAAAAGACATTTGAGCATATATTAAAACTGTCTGGATATTACTATATAAAACATTGGAAAATATCACAAATTAACTTAAATATAAAATAACTGGAATGTGCTAGGGTCTTTTAATAGCTACTTCATGAAACTTAAATAAGGTGACTAAAAATAACAGCATATAAAAATGATAATACTTAAATTTTCTGCTTGGATATTTTAAATTAGAAGTATTGATTTAATTAAGTTACATATGTTGACAAGCTTAAGTAAATTTTAAATATAAAGAAAAATAAAAATGCTAATATTTACATTCATGAGCATCTTTTTAAAGTTGAAGCTCAGCTCTTCCAATTATGATAGAACCAGACTTAATCTTCCACTCTGTACAGTTAAAAAACTGGGTTGGGCCCAGTGGCTCATGCTTCTAATCCCAGCACTTTGGGAGGCTGAAGTGGGAGGATCCTTTGAGCCCAGGATTTCAAGGCTGCAGTGACCTATGACTGTACCACTGCACTTGAACCTGGATGATCTTGTCTCAATAAAATTTTTTAAATCATAAAGAAAACTGGAAAAAAATAAGCACAACTCTTTCCGGACATTGGACAAAGTTAGTGCAGGAATTTCAACATTGACAAGTGAAAAAACAAAGTGAATATAATAATTGCTCTGGTTTTCTGCATGAAGAAACTTTCCATACCATGGTAGGGAGAGAGATTTATTCTGATATTGCTGAATTCATAAGACAAAAACCAGAATTTGAGGGCACTGAAACAGCTGGAATTAATGAGAAGAGAACAATAAAGGGGATAGCTCTCCAGAGACAGAGTTCCAGAAATCTGCAAGTATCCTAAATTTGTTGTCCAATACAAAGCTGTACCTTTATAGGTTGAAATTTTAAAAGTACAGTCAAGGACTAGCCAGGTAGTTGTAAGCTGTATGATTACCAGGGCTCACACAATGCTGGGAGACATTCAAGTTCCAATCAGCTGGAATGCAGAGACTTCCATGAATACTTGGGGGATAGAATAGAGACCTCCAGAAAGGTTATTAATAATAAGTCAATTATTATTAATGCTTTAATAATTAATCTGTTAATAATAAACAAATTATTAGTAAAGCATACCCCCAATTAATAACAATGATAAACCTTCTCATACTGTTTGGCTCTGTGTCCCCACTCAAGTCTCATGTTGAATTGTAATCCCTAATGATGGGGGAGGGACCTGGTGGGAGGTGATCGGATCATGGGAGTGGACTCTCCTTTTGCTGTTCACATAATAGTGAGTTCTCATGAGATCTGGTTGTTTGAAAGTGTGTAGCACTTCCCCCTTCACTCTCTCCTCCTCCTGCTTCCACTGCATAAGACATGCTGGCTTCCCCTTCACCTTCTGCCATGATTGTAAGTTTCCTGAGGCCTCCCCAGCCATGCCTCTTGTAGATCCTGTGAAACTGTGAGTCAATTAAACCTCTTTTCTTTATAAACTACCCAGTGTCAGGTAGTTCTTTATAGCAATGTGAAAAGGGACTAATACACCCTCCCGATCATGCCTTTGTAAAAGTCTCAAAAGAATCAAATTGGTCTTTAAGTTTAATTTCCTGCAAGAAATAAAATGGAATATCTTGTGAAAAAAGAAAAATTTGGGTACTCAATCAAATAAAAATCATAATATCCAGCATCTAATCCCAAATTACTATACATGGCAAGAAACAGAAAAATCACAATAACAAATAGCCAGGAGAAAAATTAATAAAAAAGACCTGTAAATTATAGAGATTACAATAAAAGAGAAGTGCTTTAGAATATTCATTATAAATGTGCATAAGAATTTCAAGAAATACTTGGACACAAAGAGTATAAAAATATAAAAAATCAAATAGAACTTCTAGAGATAAAAGCTACAGTATATGAAATGAATAAATCACTGCCTATGAGTAACAACACATTAAGTTTTCCAGAAGAAAATGTTAGTGAACTGGAAGGTGGAAATAGAATCTCTATAATCTGAAGCAAAGAGTAGGAAAAAAGTCTGGAAACATTAATAAAGCATCAGTGGGACAGTATGAAGTAGTCTAACATGTAATCTGAGTCCAAGAAGAGAGCATGAATTTAAAACATATTTGTATAAATCATTGGAATTTCCAAATTTGATAAAAGTATAAACCCACAGATCCAAACAGCCTAACTAGCCACAAGCTGGATGAAGAAAAATCAAACTACACCAAAGCATAACTTAATTAGGTTGCTAAAAATGAGTAAGAAAGAGAATGTTTTAACAGCAGAGGGGGAAAAGGACTCATTATCACAAAGATAAGGATACTTGCAGACTTCTCATAAGACATTATGTAAGCCAGAAGACAGTCATAAGACATTATTAGAGTACTTGAAGGCAAAAGCTGTCAACATGGGATCCACATCCTTTGAAAATATTAATCAAAACTTAAGGTAAAATAAAGATGTATTCAGACAACAGACAAAAAGATCTGAGAAAATTTAGTACCAGAAAAATCAATACAATGAATGTCAAAGGACGTTCCTCATGTTAACAGAAAATGAAAAAACCTTGCTGAGACATATTAATGAAGGCCTAAATCAATTAAAAAGTATGTTCTGTTAATGGATTAGAATACTTAATATTGTTAAGCTAGCAATTCTTCCCTTATAGACCTATAAATTCAATACCCTCCTAATCAAAATTCAGGAAGGTCTTTTAGGATTGGATATGTTGACATGCTAATTCTAAAATTTACATGAAATAAAGACTTAGAATGGCCAAATCAATTTTAATAATGAAGAAAAATAACATAGATATGTGCTACTATAAAGCTATTATACATTTTAATGATAAAAATTAATAACAAGATACAAACCAAAGAAACAGGAAATTTCCAGTCAAGTATTAAGATAAAATGCATCAATTATTTCAGTAGCCACAGCAGTGGCCTTCAACTCATTTCCTTTTTTTCTGGTTTAATTCATGTTCTTATTAAAGATAAAAGTATATCTCTCTTGAAATCCTTTCCACAGAGTATTGCAAGTTTACAGGATCAGGACTCAGAATCAAGAAAAATAAGAGTTGTGGAAAATGGCAAATTTTGAAAACAGTTAATTTAAACTAAGTTCAACTACAGATTTTTAATGGTCATTGTGAACACCCGAGATGATTCTTCCTGAATCTGTTTCATGCTCTATGATCCAATTTACTGTGTAATGTAAGAATGACACATCACTGTTAGACTGTTAGAACTGTTGATTTGCTCCTGACTTTGCATATAGTATTCAGTATTATTATTTTACAACCTCAAATATAGAAATACCTCTTATAACTGTTGTAACAATGATTGAAGCCCTTTGAGGCTTCTCTTACATTTACAAGTGGATTTAATTTGATTTTATAAATATAAATTACCTTTAATAGTTGGATGCATGTTTTCTCAATAGACAGCAGTTTTTGCAGCAATTCTATTATAGTACACTTACAAATTGCTCATTATTGATTACCCATTTCTTTATCATTGACTGAAAAAATCACGTCTGAATATTCTTTAATCTTTTAGTATCATTACGTTTCTTATACTATTTGATATATAGGATGAGTGAAGAGAAATTAGATTTTAGAGGATAAAGGGGACAGAAATATATGATACACAAATTTAGCTTAGTGGGAAGTCTTCATTTTGCTTCAGTAAGTCTAAGGAAAAAAAATACTGGATAAATACTTTTTATTTATTTATTTATTTATTTATTTAATTTTTTATTGACCATTCTTGGGTGTTTCTCACAGAGGGGGATTTGGCAGGGTCATAGGACAATAGTGGAGGGAAGGTCAGCAGATAAACAAGTGAACAAAGGTCTCTGGTTTTCCTAGGCAGAGGACCCTGCGGCCTTCCGAGGTGTTTGTGTCCCTGGGTACTTGAGATTAGGGAGTGGTGATGACTCTTAACGAGCATGCTGCCTTCAAGCATCTGTTTAACAAAGCACACCTTGCACCGCCCTTAATCCATTTAACCCTGAGTGGACACAGCACATGTTTCAGAGAGCACAGGGTTGGGGGTAAGGTCACAGATCAACAGGATCCCAAGGCAGAAGAATTTTTCTTAGTACAGAACAAAATGAAAAGTCTCCCATGTCTACTTCTTTCCACACAGACAAGGCAACCATCCGATTTCTCAATCTTTTCCCCACCTTTCCCCCCTTTCTATTCCACAAAACCGCCATTGTCCTCATGGCCCGTTCTCAATGAGCTATTGGGTACACTTCCCAGATGGGGTGGTGGCCGGGCAGAGGGGCTCCTCACTTCCCAGTAGGGGCGGCTGGGCAGAGGCACCCCTCACCTCCCGGACGGGGCGGCTGGCCGGGCGGGGGGCTGACCCCTCCACCTCCCTCCCGGACGGGGCGGCTGGCCGGGTGGGGGGCTGAACCCCCCACCTCCCTCCCGGACGGGGCGGCTGGCCGGGCAGAGGGCTGACCCCCCCACCTCCCTCCCAGACGTGGTGGCTGGCCGGGTGGGGGGCTGAACCCCCCACCTCCCTCCCGGACGGGGCGGCTGGCCGGGCGGGGTCTGACCCCCCCACCTCCCTCCCGGACGGAGCGGCTGGCCGGGTAGAGGGGCTCCTCACTTCCCAGTAGGGGCGGCTGGGCAGAGGCGCCCCTCACCTCCCGGACGGGGCGGCTGGCCGGGCGGGGGGCTGACCCCCCCCACCTCCCTCCCGGATGGGGCAGCTGGCCTGGCGGGGGCTGACCCCCACCTCCCTCCCGGACGGGGTGGCTGCCTGGCGGAGACGCTCCTCACTTCCCAGACGGGGTGGCTGCCGGGCGGAGGGGCTCCTCACTTCTCAGACGGGGCGGTTGCCAGGCGGAGGGTCTCCTCCCTTCTCAGATGGGGCGGCTGGGCAGAGACGCTCCTCACCTCCCAGACGGGGTCGCGGCCGGGCAGAGGTGCTCCTCACATCCCAGACAGGGCGGTGGGGCAAAGGCGCTCCCCACATCTCAGAAGATGGGCGGCCGGGCGGAGACACTCCTCACCTCCCAGATGGGATGGTGGCCGGGAAGAGGCGCTCCCCACTTCCTAGATGGGATGGCAGCCGGGCAGAGACGCTCCTCACTTTCCAGACTGGGCAGCCAGGCAGAGGGGCTCCTCACGTCCCAGACGATAGGCGGCCAGGCAGAGACGCTCCTCACTTCCCAGACGGGGTGGCGGCCGGGCAGAGGCTGCACTCTCGGCACTTTGGGAGGCCAAGGCAGGCGGCTGGGAGGTGGAGGTTGTAGGGAGCCGAGATCACGCCACTGCACTCCAGCCTGGGCACCATTGAGCACTCGATAAATACTTTTTTAAAAAATAAATCATTTTTAGTCCCAAGTATACTGACTCTACCTGAATAGGTTGGACTACTTATAGTTAGAAGTTATCAGTAATATCACCTTATATACTCAAGACCTTATGACTTGTTTTTATCCTTATTATTCACAGAGCAAATTGATGGTTAACCACTGTCACTAATTGCCAGAGCCCTTGCTCTCAGACATGTACATACCAGCCAATACAAAGGCAATTCTTGGCCTAACTTCAACCCAGCAGAGCAGCCACTTGCAATCACTAAGCAGACAGAGAATCAAATTGCCTCTACGTCTTATTAATACAAGTTGAGATGATCTAAAGGAAAGGAATTGGTGTAGGTGAGGACCTATCTCTTGAAGATTTGAAGAAGATTTATGGTGTGTGCTGTTGGCAAATTGTTGCTATATTTCCACAACAAACCTATCCTTTGGTGCTATGAATGTGTTTACAATGAAGATTAATGACAGAGTACACATTTTTAAATAACTTTCTGATGTTTTTGTATATAGAATGTATGGGAGCTTGCCATTCAATCTGGTCAGTAGCATTCTAAAATTATCTGAATGCATGCACCTGTGTTACACTACATTGGCTTAGATTATAGTCTTTTTCTTGTTCCCTACTATGTTTCTTCTGTCCTAAAAATCCTCTCAGATAGCCAACTGAGAGCTATTACCCAAACCGAAAACAGTCCTAGTTTCCAAATATACATCAAAGCCACTAAGTGACCCACACTGAGTTTTTCCTAAACACAAAATTGATTTATATCATATGCATGCCCAGCTGATTACTTGTAGGAGGATCATCCTTTCCACCTGACTCCAGGTGCCTGTTCTGCCATGTCATTCTCAATATGACATCTGTAGAAGTTAAATACTCCTCTCTTAGAGAAAAAGATCCACTACTTTATCCCAATTGCGTATTACTATTGACAGTGGAAAACTGTACTACAGTTGGAATCTCATTTTACCTAACTCACAATGACTGGAAAATAGGTTTGAGGGAAGATGACTCCATTTTTAGAGAATCTTAGATTATTCTGGTATTAAATTTGAAACAGTAATATTATAAATTCCCACTTCTAAAACTTCACTGAAGTTAATGAAAATTACCGATTTTCAGGGTAGTGCAGCTTCTTTGTGTCCCATATGGACATTACTCTTATACTTAGTACAGTTATTTAAAAATCAGAATTCTGTGGACACACTTATCTGTTTCTTTTCCTGAATATTTAAAAGTATAATAACTGCTTATGTGCTCAAATTAAGACTTATGTTAATCTTTAGCTTATTTTATTATTTTATTTTTACTTTGTTATTTGCTTTTATATTGTTTAATAATTCTTTATATGTCACCTATCAGTATCACTCACCATTCTTTTCATATCGCCTACCAGTGTCAATCTTCATTCTGTGATTACAAGTTTTAATAATACCTGTAGTCTTTGTAAGAGCCTATAAGGTAGGTACTATTGTAATTTTTATAGATGAGGAAACTGAAGAAACACAATGATAAGCTACCCACAGCTAGTAAGTTGTGGGGAATTTAATCATGTATGTAAAGAATAATTATCTTGGCCAGGTGCAGTGGCTCAAACCTGTACTCCCAGCACTTTGGGAGGCCAAAGTGGGTGGATCGCCTGAGCTCATGAGTTCAACACCATCCTGAGCAACATGGCGAAACCTTGTCTCTACAAAAAATACAAAAATAAGCCAGGTGTGGTGGTGTATGCCTGTAAGCCCAGCTACTTGGGAGGCTGAGGTGCGAGGATGGCTTAAGCCAAGGAGGTGGAGGTTGCATTGAGCCAAGATCATACCCCTGCAATCCAGCCTGGGTGACAGAGCCAGACCCTGTCTCAAAAATTAGATAAATAAATAAAAAGAATAACTATTTTTCTTGTAAATGTAGCAAAAGAAGGCAAAGTTTTCATGGACGTTTTCCTACTGCTTTACATCCTAATCACTTATAGATAGAACCTAGAATAACCAAATAAAGAATAAATTTAAAATTGCATGATATGAAATAAATGAGGCAGCCTTCTCTACAAGTTGAAATCATAATATTTTGCATGAATTGCCTAAAATATTTGCATTAGCTTTTTACAACTAAAAATGTACTAATCTTAGGTTGCTTATGTAAGTGTTAACCTTAAAAAGTTTATGTATGCGCTAATTTAAACCAACAGAAGGCATTCTCAGGCCACTTAAAATAATCTCAAGGCAATATATCAGGATATAAGTTAGGATATTTTACAAAATCCAAGACAGAACAAAGAATCAGGAGATGTAAGGACTTCTAGGATTTAGTATGAGTTCTGGCTTTTATTATGAGTTAGAGAGGAAGCCATTGAAGGATTTTGCCCAGTTATAGCAGTTAATCATCTTCCCTTGCCTTTATATATTTAAAACGTCAGGGATTGGCCCAACTTGAGGTAAACTTTGACTTGGAGATGCAAAGGATTTTGCTAGGGTCTGATCCTTCACTTGGCGCTTCTCAGTTCTGCTCGTCTGTGAGCAAATTACATCAACTCAACTAGAGTGAAGTTCTGTGGTAGCTTTGTGACCTAGGAAAAATTAATTGTGTGAATGACTGACACATTTCCAATCAAATTACTCTCATCATTTTCACTTCACTGTCTAAGAAATGATCTCCCTCTCTTTCCTCTTTCCTGTTGGGCTTGAAGCTGTGAAGAGGTAAGTTTGCTGCAATCAGCAGCCATCATGCTACTATATGAACCCTGTGACAGACAGATGCTCATCCATGAAATCAAGCATTCATTTCATTTCCATTTATTGCTATTTCTGCTTATTTGACTTTCTTTTAAACATACTTCCTTTACAGACACACACGTATGCCAGTAATAAAGTAGGCTACATGTATTCTCACTGATGTCCCATAAGAGACATAGAACATCTATGCAATAGTATTAAGGTTCTATATACTACATAATAGTAAGCAACAGTATTAAGGTTCTATTTGGTGGTTCTTGCTAGATTACCTTTCAATCCTCAACCAAGAAGATAGAATGTCATAATAGACTTTTTCCAGATACTGTCCATCTCCGGAGCTGGAGAAAGTAGACAGGTTAGCATTGAAAGAAGGAGGGCCTCACATTCCCATGAAAAGCGTGCATGGAGAAAGGTGGATACAATAGATACGTGAGTGTAGGGCAGAATGAGAAATCCTATATACTGAGTTGGAAAATATGAATGTCCATGCAAATTCAATACTTTTTATCTTATCATAATGAAAATATCGCTTCCTCAAAAAGAACTTTCCTGGTTACTCTCTAATGACTCATATTTCACAACCACTACCAACAACCACTCTCCAGCACATTAATTCTTACAGTTAGCTTCTAACAGCATATAAAAATGTTTTGATTGTTTTATGTTAATCTGTGTCCTGTCCCATAAAAGTTTAACCTACAAGAGGAAGGATATTATCTCTCTTATTCACCGCTATTTTCTTATATGCTTAAAACAATGTCTGCCCCATTGTAGATACTTTACAAATATATGCTGAATAAAATGATGAACTGACAAATATAAATAATATGTATATATGTACATATGTATATGTATTAATTAAAGCTTTTGAGGCTCCATATGTACCAGAGTACTAATTGCTCTATCTTTATTATACCAAGAAATTATCATAGGTCTATGGGCCAGACAATATTATTACTATTTTGCTGAAGAGAAATATGAAGCACAGATAAATTTTGTGGCATGTTCATAGCTACATAGGTAGTAAACAACAAAGATGGGATAGCAAGATGAAAACCCAGGGTTGTCTGATTAGAAAGTCCACATTATTTACCACCATACAGTACTGTCGACATCAACATTTAGTCTCTTTCCATCATATTGCATCTGAATAGAAAGGAGGTAGCACATGAAAGTATTGCTTCTAATTTTATTTTTGCTCTGCAATAAAAAAGCAAATGTAATTAACAAACATTAACAAATACCATATGTTGCACATTTCCATATGTGACACAGGATACACATTTGATTAAGATATAATTCTGCCCAGCAGAAGGTGGGGGAAGGGAGAGGAAGAAGAAAAAATAGAAAATATAAGTTGAATCTGATCCTTCATATGATTTTTACTCCATGTATACCTTTACTGAAATGATAGCTTGTGCACATGCAAGGACTGACTATACTATTCCAAGGTACTTTCTATGGGTGAAGGAAAGCAGAAGGAAAAGGATGGGGGAGAAGGGCATGAATCTCCACTTCATGAAGGAAAAAGCACTTTGGTCCCCAAATATGGCAGAAAAAAAGTCAAGTAAGTGAGAGGAATGTTATACAGGGGAGCAGAAGTATGTGTTTTGCATGGAGACCTCGTTTTAGCAATACCTTTTTGCCCTTCTGCTTCCAAATCTTATTTGCCAGTTTAATGCCTTTATATAAAGTCCTAATGATGAATGAAAACCTTTCAAGTGCTGCTGCCTCATTAAATGCATTATTTATTAATTTAACTTCTAGTACTCTCGATAAAGGGCCAATGAAATTAGTTGTTGAGTTCCAGGGGAAAAAATGAGAACAAAATTTTGAATATATACACACACACACATATATATATATATGTATATATATACGTATATATATATACACACACACACACACAGAGGTCATAATTGGATTCCATATAATAATGATATCAATATGTCTATCAGTATTGGAGTTGGATTCTGGTACTTTCTCATGTGGGGTTCTTGTGTTACAGTCAGCATAGATTTCTGGAGCATTCTTCTGTTAATCTTTTGGTGGCATCAAACTGTCTTAAGTGGTGTGGGAGATGCTATTTCTGCCATGTGAGAATTTGATGGTGTAATTAGCACAAACAATCAGAATGCCATAGGTGAGTCACCCAAATCACCTCAGAGTGCCCCTTTCCTGCCCACATAAAGTCATCATTATCAGAGTTTACTCTTTTCTTCTCTGATTCATTCTCAATATCAGTCATGTGGGGATTCTCAGTCATTCTTTAGATCAGGCTAGATTTAGGACACAACATTCAGTGATAGCTCTTGACCTGAGCTGCTGATGACCACTGCCCTGGTCTCGCAAGAGGATCAATCTTACATGTGGATGACAGTGCACAATATGATGGGTAAACCAAGGTATCATGAAAAATATGGGGCTCTTCTTCCAAACCAGGTTGTTCATGCTGATGACATCAACATACCCAAATCATGATTTGCTGGTTACAAATAAAGCATTGCAAAAACCACACTGGCCTGGAATAGCAGGGATCATCACAAAACTAAGAAAAGTTCTGGTTATTCTTCCACAAACTCAGTGCAACATTCGATTGGTAGGGCACGGTGGGGGACCAGGAAGAGATAGAGATTTAGCCAAGATATGCCCCAAAGCCACTGCTTTTCTGGACTCAAACCAGGGGATTAGGGAAACAACATTCCCCAGCTTCTATGCAAAGAGCCAAAGGGAACACAGACTTAAATATCATGACATGAAAGTTACTTCACTTGATGAAATTACAAAATCATTGGTAATTGCTGAGAATCTCTCACCTCTAGGGTTTTACAATGCAAAACCCCACCACTAGAGTTAATGCGCTATAGTCAATCTCTCTTCTATGAGGGAGGGTTGTCGGGGAGTGGGATATGGTATTGCCTGGGAATCCCTAAAGAAGACAGAGAGGCACAAAATGATGGAGAAGGGCACCAGAGAAACAATCTCCTCAAACTACAATTACTTTATTCTTTGGCTGACGGTTTTGTCTGCCTTTCAGACTTTGGGTAATGAAGCTAATGAGTAGCTGTTGGGGTTTTACTATCCATTTCCTCATTCTGGAACCCTCAATTCTAGGAGGATATCCCACCCCATTATTCTTAGAGCCTCTTTCTTGATTTCTTCTCTCCTTCCATTCCTCACTTTCCTCTCTCTGTGTAACTTTCTTTTGGCTTAACTGCCAGGAGCATCTGCTGCAGGTCTCAGGGTAAGAGAGTGGGCAGGTGGGCACAGACTGATAGAGAAGTCTGAGATCATGACATTCCTTCCGTATTCCAGGAAAAGTTGTTGTAATAGGATAATAGAATAAAACCAAGTACTTTTGGGGACCTCTTCATTGTGAAATATTTTCTTATCTGGATTCAGAGGTTATGCCCTTTGAGAAAGGAAGGGGAAAAAGAGCTTTTATTTAGCTCTTGTGCTAGGCAGAGTTCTAAGGTGACACTCACTGACCCCTTGTGATTCCCTTCTCTCAAGTGTGGATGAAACCTGTGTATAAGATGGGATACAAGTCCCGTATGTAGGACTGATTTGTTGACTTTCAGTTTATAAAAAAACTCATTATTCTGGATGGACCTCACCTCTTCATGTGAATGCTTTATGAGAGGATTAAAGCACTAGAGACTCTGGCTCTCCTGCTGGTCTCAAAGAAAAAGTACATTGTCATGAGTCCTCAACTTAAAGGAAATTAATTCCGCCACATTCACATGAAAGAGAATCAGAAGCTTTAGACAAGGCCACAGCCCCGGCCAACTCCCTGATGACAGAGTCATAAGATCCTGAACCAAGGACCCACATCCACTGGGCCCAGACTCTTGATCCATGGAAACTGAAATATAATGAATGTGTACTGTGTTAAGACTATAAGTTTGTTTAACTGATTATACAGCAATACAAAAGTAATACAGATACCTTCAAATGAAGGCCAATACTGACCTCACTGGGGCTACAACAAAGCACTTTACATCCAAAGGCAGAGAGGGCCACAGCAATGCAGAATTCCAGCACACTTAAGAGGAGCACCATGCCATCCGTACCCTAGGAGAAAACTCATAACAAGGGAATGTGAGAAATGGAGATGACAAGTGAAAACATTTCCCAGCAACCACAGTGTCATAAGAGAAAAAGCACTGGCTGGGAGTCAGGAAACCTGCCTCCCAATGGCAGCCATACCCTTGACCAATTCTTGATCTGCTGAAGTAGCTTCTCACTTTTTTCACTAATAAAATAATCACAGACATTTATTCCCTAGTTCAGCACCTCCCAGTGCTATTGTGGGCATGGAAGATGAAAGTGCTTTAAAATGTTAGGAAGGTAGTATAAAGATAATTGTCATCATATCCTATTGAGTACTAGAAACTCATATCATTGAAAAAATACTATGATTCCATATCTTCGTGATTGTAAGCAGAGTAATGGTCCCCCAGGGAGGTCTGCATCCTAGTCCCCTAATCCTCAGCTTCTGGGGATTTGAATGCAGACCTCCCTGGGGGGACCATTGTTCTTTTTGCACAACAAAAAGGATTAAATTTGCAGCTGAAATCAAGGTTGCTTATTAGCTGGAATGAGAGAATTTTCCTGGATTATTCAGGTGGGTTCAAAGTAATGACAGAATCCTTATAAGTGGAAGCAAGAGGCAGAATAGAGTTCAAGAGAGTTTTGAAGATGCTGCATTGCTTGATTTGAAGGTAGAGGATGGGATGACAAACCAAGAAAGGTAGGCAGCCTACAGAAGCCAGAAAAGGCAGTAAAACTTATTGTTGCCTAAGCCTTCAGAAAGGAGTACGGCCTTGCCCACACTGATTTTAGCCCAGTGAGACCCACTTTGAACTTCTGACCTCCAGAAACAGAAGATAACCAAACTGTATTGTCTTGAGACACTAAATGATTTTATATGGTTCTGCCTAATGATTTGTAGTAATTTGTTACAGTAACAATAAGAAGCTAATACAACAATGAACATCACGTAGGTCAGTCTTTAATCCATCTCCCCAGAGCACTGGCTTTAGGGCTAGTCTTCAGCCAAGAAACATAGTCAAAATTTGGAGAACAATTGGGCAGTACACTTATTTCTATTAATTTTACCCCGGACTGATGCAGGGATTATCTGGTTTAAATATTCTCTCTTTTTCTCTCCATGGTTAGGGATAGTCCCTCTGTTGCGGAAGAGCCAATAGACCAAGAGCTCAGGATATGAGTGAGGCAGACTTAAGGAGACCTTGAGAATATTTGCATTCATTGCTTTTTTATTTTCTTGTGCCTTCAACAGCTGTAGCGGCCTCTGTGTTTCAAACATTGTTGTAGGCACAGAATATAGAACAGCAAACAAAACAGACAATTCCCCTGTCTTCAAGGATTTTACCATCTAGAAGTGTAGACTAGAAGATGGCAAGCTTTCCGTAAAGGCCAGATAATGTACATTTTAGGTTTTGCAGACCGTAAGGTCTCTGGCACACACATTCAAACCTGTTATTATAACACAAAAGCAGCAATACACAATATGTAAATAAATGGGTTCGTTACATTTCAATAAAACTTTATTTACAAAAACAAATACAGGGCTGGACTTCCAAAAACATAGCATGTATATAGACCTGTGGACTGATTGTGCAGGTGCCCAGGCAAGAATAGACCCATTGCTTCAAATCCCAGGAAGCCCTTATGGAGGTCCCCTGCTATAAAAACAGGCATAAAAATGTTTACACAATTAACAGGAATTCATCATGGACTCTGGGAAAGGTGACTGAAATGAATGCAGGACCAGCTATGTAATTTATAGACTCTCTTATTAAAATTACATATATATCTTAGCTTGAGCTATACGAAACTGCTGTCTTTCTAGGTTAAGTATAGTTGATCATTGGCAATTTCATATGGTTCTGCCTAATGATTCCGGGTGGTAGACTCTAACTACTTTTTTCTAGAGCTCAACTTTTTCTGGCCTCTTTAATAATTATATGCTTTCCAGCATTTCTATCTTTTTCTTCCAGGAGAACCAAAGTTCCTTTGTGGTAGGGAACTGTTCTCTTTCTTATGTCTACCAGGGTGCCAACCCTGTGATGGGGCATACACTATGGGCTCATAGACCTGTGGACTGAATGTAAAGGTGCCCAGGCAAGAAGAGACTCATTGCTTCAAATTCCAGAAAGCTCTTATGGAAGTCCTCTGCTATTAGAACAGGCATAAAAATGTTCACACAGTTAATAGGAATTCATCATGACCTCTGGGAAAGGTGATTGAGATGAATGCAGAACCAGCTACGTAATTTACAGAGTGTCTTGTTTAAAATTTTTAAAAATAATTTCAAGATAGCAACAGCAGAGCATTAGACCAAGCACAGGGCTCTTCTAACTCTGAGGTCCTGAGTAACTGCACAGGTCCCATGCCCACGAAATCAGCCCTATGAACCTGGCCAATTCCAGATTTTGTCTCTATCATTGTGCCATTAAAGTCTATGAATGAAGAGAGCCTCATAAACTAAAAGTAAGGTTCTTCTTCGGGATAGCAATAGCAAATAAGAGGGAAATTAGAGACAAGAAGTTCTACAATTGAATCTTGCTTTTGCCAATTTCTAACTGAGTGACATTGGGAAAATTTGTCAAATTCTCAAAAGAAACTTTCTTTTCTTATCTTGAGTGAGTGGCAAGAAATAAAATTACTTACTATAAAAAGCATTAGATATCTCAAGGGAAGTAAATTAGTTTCGCAAAGACACCTCAAGCGGTTATTTTGGTGTGACTACGTAGCCCTCAAGACTATGTGGGATTAGCTAGAAATGAAGTAAACAGAATGCAGTTGATTCTGTCTAGTAAGTTAGGAAGAGTGTTGAGTTTCCACATACACATGAGGGAAGGGCACAGTGAGGAAAAGAACTAAGCAGCAAGGCGAAAGGCTGAAAGTTCATAGAGAGGAAAAGTAACTGAAAGTTTGGTGGTGTTGAAAATGACCAGTAGGCTTTTTAATAATAAAGATTTGGCTGGGCACAGTGGCTCACACCTGTAATCCCAGCAGTTTAGGAGGCCGAGGTGGGTGGATCACCTGAGGTCAGGAGTTCAAGACCAGGCTGGCCAACATGGAGAAACCCCGTCTCCACTAAAAATACAAAAATTAGCCAGGCGTGGTGGCACATGCCTGTAATTCCAGCTACTTGGGATGCTGAGGCAGGAGAATCACTTGAACCCAGGAGGTGGAGTTTGCAATGAGCAGAGATTGTGCCACCACGTGCATTGTGAACTGCACTGCACTCCAGCCTGGGCAACAAGAGTGAAACTCCATCTCTAACAATAATAATAATAATAATTATAAAGATTAAATTGTGCATTTTAGTCTGCTGTGATGTGCTGCAAGAACTCTTCCCCCACACTTACCCAATGGCCCAAAACATCAAGAACTTTTATTACTTACAAAATGTTGTGTAAGTGGTAATTTTCAGAATAAAGCAATTGAGATAGCATTGAAATAAGGACAACTGGTACAAAAAAAGTAGTAAAATTCAGAATGGAGATTGAGAATTTTTCAGGTGCCACATGTTGAGGATAAAAGTGGTTAACGTTGCAAGAACATCCAAAGATGTGGGAAAGGATACTGAGTTACCACTTATAAAATACTGTTCAAGACAATTTTACTTTATTATTTGAGAATAGGCACTGACATCTTTTTTTTTTTTTTTTTGAGACAGAGTCTCACTCTTTCGCCCAGGCCAGACTGCAGTGGCACTATCTCGGCTCACTGCAAGCTCCACCTCCTGGGTTCACGCCATTCTCCTGCCTCAGCCTCCCGAGTAGCTGGAACTACAGGTGCCCGCCACCATGCCTGGCTAATTTTTTGTATTTTTAGTAGAGATGGGGTTTCACCATGTTAGCCAGGATGGTCTCGATCTCCTGACCTCGTGATCCGCCTGGCTCGGCCTCCCAAAGTGCTGGGATTACAGGCGTGAGCCACCGTGTCCGGCTGGGACTGACTTTTTGACGCCATTTTTAGAGGGGTCTGGAGGAGATAACAGTAGACACTGCATCAATGTTTTAAAATTAAACATAAAAATTTATGCAAAATGCCCAGCCCAGTAACTATTAAGGAGTAGGTGTTCTATAACTATAAGCTTTCTTCCCATTTTGCCTCATCACATATAGAGGAAAAATAAAGACAGAGATGAGATGTGTACCTGACTCCTAAATGAAAGATTATTCTATTTCTCAATCACTTACAACTTCCAAAGTCATTCAGCAATTAGGAAATGATAATTATTGTTGTTGCCAGAGCCAGCACTCCCCTAAACTTGCTTCTATGATAATATCTCATGAAAAGAGAAAACACTCACCATTAAAATGGACATAGTCATGTAACAATTACTTGACAACTGATCGTGGTTACAGTAATGGTAACGGAATGAATAAAACGTCAAGCTTATTGCATTGATTAAGATCCCTGATATAGCCAAGACTGAACTGGTGATATTCTTTCCTAGACTACCTCCAACCTAGAAAGAAATGAAAATTAATTAAGCAATCCAACATCATCCTCAGATATATCTCTGTTAATTACTTTACACTGCTGTCTACCTTTATCTTATTTCAATAGTCTTCTAACTTGTCTCCTTATAGTGGTTTCAACTCTGATCTCTCGCCAAAACACAAATATGATCCCATTATTCTCCAGCTTAAATTCTTCAGATAATTCCTGTGAGAAGATGAGATAATCTCCAAATCATTTATCAGGGTTTTCAATGATTTTTTACACATTAGCTGGACAGTCATGTCTGTGTCCTTCCCTGCCATTCCTTGCTTCTGGTGCCCGATCTCTTATCATTGTTCTAAACACTGCTTGCCTCTCATGCCTCTCTACATTTTAAATTATTTTTCTCGGTTGTGTATTCCTTTTTGTACTTTCTCTTCTCATGGGTAAGGTAAGGAGGCTTTTTATAAGTATTAAAATTACACAGGAAAGTGTGAAGAGTGTAGTGTGGCTGCAGGTCCCGGCAGACACTAGGAAGTTGGGTTAGGCCAGATTTGGAAAACCGATATTGATCATGCTCCAGAGTTTGATATTTATCTTTTGAACAAAGAAAACTCAAATAGTGTTTAGCCAGAAAAACCCTTGTTGAGATCTTGGCTTTTGCATTTTATTGGCTTTATGAAAGGCATCTTGACATGAGAGTTACATTTTAAATTTGCTGCTTCTTATGTAATAATTTTATTGTGAATTTCTTATATTGAAAATTCAAAATCCTTTTTGGATACAGTTGGAATCTACTTTTTTTTTTTCCTTTTTGAGATGGAGTCTTGCTCTGTCACCAGGCTGAAGTGCAGTGGCACAATCTCAGCTCACTGCAACCTCCGCCTCCAGGGTTCAAGCAATTCTCCTGCCTCAGCCTCCTGAGTAGCTGGGATTACAGGCGCCCGTCACCACGCCTGGTAATTTTTTTGTATTTTTAGTAGAGAAGGGGTTTCACCATGTTGGCCAGGCTGGTTGCAAACTCCTGACTTCAAATGATCCACTCACCTAGGCCTCCCAAAGTCTTAGGATTACAGGCATGAGCCACCGCGCCCGGCCAGAATCTACCTTTTAATCAATTGGTCAATAAACATTATGCCACACCAATACTTGGTGTGACTGTCATGGGCTGAATCCCAAGCTGCAGAGTTTTTTTGAGTGATCCCACTTCATATTTGTTCTAAATAATTTTCCATATCTTCATAAAGATTCCCTCATCAACTACCTTGACAAAATATCCATTATTATGTCAGTAATTCTATCATTAGCCTTATCGTAATTTTTGAGACAGATCCTGCTAAGTAAAATGCATAGTTGCTCCTGACTTTTTTAAAAACAAACAAACAAAACCTGTTTTATACCCTGGCAGAATACATTATTGATTAATCCTTTCCTTTTGATACCCCCCACAAAACATTACTCACCAGACCTTTTGTTGTTCTAATTCCTGCTGCAACTGATAAGGATACTGAAATAATAAAATAAGAATGAGAGAAAAAAATGGAGATAAAAAGTTTTAAACAAGTATTGGAAATCACAACTTAGTAAACTTTATTCCAAATTAGATAGATATGTATAAACAGGTCAATTATCTTAGAAAGCAAGAGATTGCACATAATTTTCTCTTTTCCCAGAAAGAACAGAAAAATTCTGCCAGATGAGTCCACCGGATAATTTATCAAGCCTTTCAAATAATAGCTAACTGGAATGATATTAAAACTGTTTGAGGACACTGAAAGATAAAGCTTCCAAATTCCTGATAAGAAGTAATTCTTATATGGTATTAATATTGAATACAATAAACAAAAAATGTACTAAAATAATTCTCATTGAAAATATGTTTAAAAAGTTATAAAATAAAATAGTAGCACATAAAATTTAGTTCCCAGTTATTTGATAACTAGAATATACTACTTCATCTGAATCCATCAATGGGGCAATTATTTTTCATTTAGCCAAAATAGCTAATCAAGTTGGTTGGACTCTCTACCTTATAATATTCCATTATTAGAGTTTTTTATTTCCTTTACAAATTTGATCTCAGATGATTCAAAAATTATATCCTAATATAAAGAAACTGGACTAATAAAATAGCTCAATAAACTTCTTTAGTTTCCAAATACCCAGACATAGAGATGATTCATGTTATCTAAATCACCATTGGAAAAAAAATAACAGTAGAGCAAATCATCCATCATGTAACATAAAATACATCATGAACATTTGGGATGTTCCTTCAACTCTACAAAGATTTTTAATATTGAAATATTCTAATATATATAATAAATAAATTTAAGAAAAACGTTACCTGTTAATTGCTACTCATGTTTACAGTGTTGATAGGATAGGACATTTAATACAATCCAACATTATTAGTGACTTAAACATTATTGGTAAAATATAAATAATTATACTTTCTGTAACAAGATAGGACATCTGTCTCAGTCTACAAGTCTTTATCATGTTTAATGATTAAAAAAAAAGTAGGACCATCTTATTAAAGTCAAAATCAAGATAAACATGTAGACTATTATGTATTACTATTTGGGGTATATTAACCAAAATAATTATATAAGAAAAATAGTTGAAACAAATGGCTAAAACTACTGTTATTTAAGTATGAATAACATATATTGCAAACATCCAAGAATATAAACTAAAAAGTACCATAAACTCTTTAAAAAATTCAGTAAAGCACCTTGGAAAAATGTTATATACAGAAATTAGATAAACATATTAGAAGTGTGTATGTATGTTTGTGTATTTGAAGATAGGATTGAAAAAAGGGATTTCATTTACCACAGGAAAAAATATGTATATGGTATCTCAGAGGAAAAACTTAACAAAGAATGTGAAACATAAATAGGAATAGAACTGAAGAGGCCAAGGATAATACAAACTTACAGCTGGCTCTTGGTACTGGTACTTATACTGTAAAAGGGAGAAAAGAGAGGCACTTTGCAGGTGATGTTCGGAAAAAAAGGTTGAAAGAATAATGGAAGGTAGCAGCAAAAAAGGGTTTTACCAATTTACTGCATTTACCAATCTAGTTCAATGCCTACAAGAGTCTGAGTGATGACTCAGTGGACAAACACAGCTCCTGCAGTTCTTGGTAATCTACTGAACACGTGTGGAAGGCTAAAACCATGTAAGCTGGTTTTCAATGAGATCTTGAAAAGAAAATGGACATGAAAGCGGAAACCTAGGTAGTTACATGTATGTGATTCTGATAATGGAGTGACCCTATTTGAACCCTGATCCTGTACCAAACAGTTGTGATCTTGAGCAAGTTACTTAACCTCTCTTCATCCATAAAATGAAGATAATGAGAAATCCTCCCTCAAAAGTTTGTGGTGATGATGTGAAATAAAAAGTACACATAAAAAGCACTTAGCAGAATGTCCAGATCATAGTAAGAGTTTAATAAAAAGCTATTATTGACATTGGTAATATATATATTATATATATAGGTTATATATCATATGTATATATATATATTGCAACTTTCCAGAGATGGAACAGTGTTTGCTGTCTGTTATGGTTAATATTGAGTGTCAACTTGATTGAATTGAAGGATGCAAAGTATTGTTCCTGGGTGTGTCTGTGAGGGTGTTGACAAAGGAGATTAACATTTGAGTTGGTGGACTAGGAAAGGGAGACCCATCCTCAGTCAATCAGCTGCCAGCATAGCCAGAATAAAAGGAGGCAGAAAAACATGGAAAGACTAGACTCATTTAGTCTTCTGGTCTTAATAAACTGCCCTTTATGTATACATCTATCCTATTAGTTCTATCCCTCTAGAGAACCCTGACTATCCTATTAGTTCTATTCCTCTAGAGAACCCTGACTAATACAGATTTTGGTACCAGGAGATGATCTAGAAAAACAGAATATTAAGGATGGAGTTCTTTTTTTGGTTTTGCTCCTAAGTTCACTGGACAAAGTGATGAAAGAAAATTATGAACTCAGGGATTCTAACTCTAAGCTTCAGAAGCAGATACTGAGCCTCAAATCTTCTAAGATTGCCCTGAGTGAGAGTCTTATCTTCTGTAGAGAAAGAGCTGAAATTGTGGACACTCAGACACAAGCTTTTATCATGCGATTTGCTGACCTGCAACAAAAGGTGCATGCATAGACTCACCAGGTGTCTACTGTTAAAGCGAGAGCATTGATTGAAAAAGAATGGGACCCTGCAACTTGGAATGGGGATGTGCGGTAGAACCTTGATGAAGCTGGGGACACTGAGCTTGTAAACTCTCAGGAGCCTTTTTTTTGCCAGAAAAAACAGCTTCCCCATCACCAGTAGTGGCAACATCCCCTCCCTAACCCACACTGCCATCAGCCTTTTCACCTTTGTCTAAGGAGATAAACCCTGCGCTGCCTAATGCAACAGTGATGTGTTGTGGGAAGTCAGGGACCCCAAACGGAGGGACCGGCTGAAGCCATGGCAGAAGAATGTGGATTGTGAAGATTTCATGGACATTTATGAGTTCCCCAAATTAATACTTTTATAATTTCTTATGCCTGCCTTTACTGCAATCTCTAAACATAAATTGTAAAGATTTCATGGACACTTATCACTTCCTCAATCAATACCCTTGTGATTTCCTATGCCCGTCTTTACTTTCATCTCTTAATCCTGTCAGCTGAGGAAGATGTAAGTCGCCTCAGGACCCTGTAATAATTGCATTAACTGCACAAATTGTACAGCATGTGTGTTTAAACAATATGAAATCTGGGCACCTTGAAAAAAGAACAGGATAACAGCAATTATTCAGGGAATAAGAGAGAGAACCTTAAATTCTGACCACCGGTGAGCCGGGCAGAACAGAGCCATATTTCTCTTCTTTCAAAAGCAAATGGGAGAAAGATTGCTGAATTCTTTTTCTCAGCAAGGAACATCCCTGGGAAAGAGAATACGCGCCTGGGGGTATAGGCCTATAAATGGCCCCCCAGATGTGCCGGTCTCTTATGGTCGAGGCTGTAGGGGTGAAATAGACCCCAGTCTCCCATAGCGCTCCCAGGCTTATTAGGAAGAGGAAATTCCCGCCTAATAAATTTTTGGTCAGACCAGTTGCTCTCAAAACCCTGTCTCCTGATAAGATGTTATCAATGACCATGGTGCCTCAAACTTCATTAGCAATTTTAATTTCACCCCGGTACTGTGGTCCTGTGATCTCGCCCTGCCTCCACTTGCCTTGTGATATTCTATTACCTTGTACAGTACTTGATGTCTGTGACCCACACCTATTCGCATACTCCCTCCCTTTTTGAAACTCCTTAATAAAAACTTACTGGTTTTTGCAGCTTGTGGGGTGTCACGGAACCTATCGACATGTGATGTCTTCCCTGGATGCCCAGCTTTAAAATTTCTCTCTTTTGTGTACTCTGTCCCTTTATTTCTCAAGCCAGCCAACGCTTAGGGAAAACAGAAAAGAACCTACGTGACTATCGGGGCAGGTTCCCCGATAGTGATGGCCTTCTCCTCAGGTGTTGCCAAGCAAGACAATGTTGATTCTCCTTAGGACCCACTCCCAAGGCCCCTGTTTGCTTCTAGACCTATAACTAAAGTCCCAGCAGGCCCCTAGAGGTGAGGTTCAGAATGCGATACACAAGAAAGTGTGCTACACTTGAAAAGAACTGCTTGAGTTTTCTAATTTATATAAGCAGAAATCTGGAAAACAGGCATGGGAATGAATATTAAGGGTGTGGGATAATGGTGGAAGAACATAGAGTTGGATCAGGCTGAATTTATTGATTTGGGCCCTCTAAGCAGGGATTCTGCATTTAATGTTGCAGCTTGCAGAGTTAAAAAAGTTCTAGTTTATTTGCTTGGTTAGCTGAAATATGGATTAAAAGATGGCCCACTGTGGGTGAGCTGAAAATGCCTGATCTCCTTGGTTTAATGTAGAGGAAGGGATCCAAAGGCTTAGGCAGATTGTGATGAAGGAGTGGATTAGTCACTTTAAGCCTATTCATCCCAGCTGGGAGGGTTCAGAAGATATACCCTTGACCAGTACTTTGTGAAATAGATTTGAGAGGGCAGCACTTGCATCCTTGAAGAGCTCTGTGATTGCCTTTCTCTGTATGCCAGATCTTACAGTAGAAACTGTAGTCACTCAACTACAAAATTTAAATGCAATAAAAATAATTGGATCTAGAGACAGCAGGGGCCAAATGGCAGCACTCAGCCATCAAAGGAAAGGTAGGCATAGCTACCATAATAGACAGAAGAGGCAAAGCAGCAATCAGAATAGTCTGACTTGTGTAGAGCTCTGGTATTGGCTAATTAATTACAGCGTTCCTAGAAGTGAAATTGACAGGAAGCTTACCGAATTCTTACTTAATTTACATAAGCAGAAAACTTCCAGGTCGAGTGGACAAAACACTAATTTGAATTATAAAAACAGAGAATCGCAGCCCCACTATCAATTTCCAGACATATGCCATTTTACAGACCCAGAACCCCTTGAATGAAAAGGAGGCCAGGTCCTCTTAAAGAAGGATCCCACTATACTACTGACAATTTATGTTGTTAATCTTTCTCCCATCCTTCCTCAAGGAGACCTCTGGCCTTTTACCAGGTAACTGGATTGGGGAAAGAAAGAAAAAATGATCAGACCTTTTGGGAACTACTGGACACTGACTCTGAGCTGACATTGATTCCAGGGGACCCAAAAAGTCATTGTGATCCTCCAGTTATAGTAGGGGCTTATGGAGGTCATGTAATTAATGGAGCTTTAGCTCAGGTTCAACTTACAGTGGCTCCAGTGGGTCCCCACACTCATCCTGCATTCATTTCCCCAGTGCCAGAATGCATAATTGACACAGACATGCTTAGCAGCTGTCAGGACCCCCACACTGGCCCCTGACTCATAGAGTGAAGGCTACTATGGTGGAAAAGGCCAAATGGAAGCCATTAGAGCTGCCTCTACCTAGAAAAGCAGTAAATCAACAACAATATCCCATCCCTGAAGGGATTGCAGACATTAGTGCCACCATCAAGGACTTAAAATATGCAAGGGTGATGATTCCCACCACATCCCCATTCAACTCTCCCATTTGGCCAGTGCAGAAGACAGATGGATCTTGGAGAATGACAGTGGATTATCATGAGCTTAACCAAGTAGTGACTCCAGTTGCAGTTGCTGTACCAGATGTGGTTTCATTGCTTGAGCAAATTAACCCATCTTCTGGTACCTGGTAAGCAGCCATTGATTTGGTAAATGCCTTTTTCTCCATTCCTGTCTATAAGGCCCACCAGAAGCAATTTACCTTCAGCTGGCAAGACCAGCAATGTACCTTTACTGTCCTACCTCAGGGGTATATCAACTCTTCTCTGGCTTTGTGTCATGACCTTGTTCAGGGAGATCTTGATCACTTTTCCCTTCCACAAAATATCACACTGGTCCATTATATTGATGCCATTATACTGATGGGATCCAGTGAGCAAGAAGTAGCAAGCACACTGGACTTATTGGTAAGACATTTGCATGCCAGAGGATGGGAAATAAATATGACTAAAATTCAGGGACCTTCTACCTCAGTAAAATTTCTAGGGGTTCAGTGGTGTGGGGCCTGTCAAGATGTTCCTTCTAAGGTGAAGGATAAGTTGCTGTATTTGCCCCCACCCCCTACAACCAAGAAAGACTCACAATGCCTAGTGGGCTTATTTGGGTTTTGGAGGCCACACATTCGTTACCTGGGGGTGTTACTTGGCCCATTAATCAAGAGACCTGAAAGGCTTCCAGTTTTGAGTGGGGTCCAGGACAGGAGAAGGCTCTGCAACAGGTCCAAACTGCTATGCAAGTTGCTCTGTCACTTGGGCCATAGAACAGAGCAGATCTAATTGTGCTTGAGGTGTCAGCAGCAGAGAGGGATGCTGTTAGGAGCCTTTGGAAGTCCCCCATAGATGAATCACAGCAGAGGCCTCTAGGATTTTGGAGGAAGGCCCTGCCATCTTCTGCAGATAACTACTTTCCTTTTTAGAAAGAGCTCTTGCCCTGTTACTGGACTTTGGTAGAAACTAAACGGTTGGCTATGGGTCATCAAGTCACCATGCGACCTGAACTACCTATCATGAATTGAGTGCTTTCTGACTTGTCTAGCCAAAAGTGGGGCATGCACAGCAGCATTCCATCATCAAATGGAAGTGGCATATATGTGATCAGGCTTGAGCAACTCCTGAGGGCACAAGTAAGTTATATGAGGAAGTGGCACAAATGCTCATGATCCCCATTCCTGCCACACTGCCTTCTCTCCCCCAGCCTGCACTGATGGTCTCATGGGGAGTTCCCCAGGATCAATTAACAGAGGAAGAGAAGACAAGGGCCCTGTTTACAGATGGCTCTGCACGATATGCAGGCACCACCTCAAAGTGGTCAGCTGCAGCACTACAGCCCCTTCCTAGGACATCCCTGAAGGACAGCGGTGAAGGAAAATCGTCCCAGTGGGCAGAATGTTGAGCACTGCACCTCATTGTGCACTTTGCTTGGAAGGAGAAATGGCCAGATCTGCAATTATATACTGATTCATGGGCTATAGCCAATGGTTTGGCTGAGTAGTCAGGGACTTGGAAGAAGCATGATAGGAAAATTGGTGACAAATAAATTTTGGGAAGAGGTATGTGAATGGACCTCTCCGAGTGGTCAAAAACTGTGAAGATATTTGTATTTCATGTGAGTGCTTATCAAACGGTGACCTCAGCAGAGGAGGATTTTAATAATCAAGTAAACAGGATGACTCATTCTATGGACACCAGTCAGCCTCTTTCTCCAGCCACCCCTGTCATTGCCCAATGAGTCCATGAACGAAGTGGCCATGGTGGCAGGGATGGAGGATATGCATGGGCTCAGCAACATGGACTTCCATTCACTGACCTGGCTATGGCCACTGCTGAGCACCTAATTTGCCAGCAGCAAAGACCAGCACTGAGCCCTCAATATAGCACCATTCCTCGGAATGATCAGCCAGCTACTTGGTGGCAAGTTGATTATATTAGACCTCTTCCATCACGGAAAGGGCAGCGGTTTTTCCTCACCAGAATAGACACTTACTTTGGATATGGGTTTGCCTATCCTGCACACAATGCTTCTGGCAAGACTACAATCCAAGAACTCATGGAATGCCTTAACCACTGTCATGGTATCCCACATAGCATTGCCTCTGACCAAGGCACTCACTTGTTGGCTAAAGAAATGCGGCAGTGGGCTCATTCTCATGGAATTCACTGGTCTTACCATGTTTCCCATCATCCTGAAGCAGCTGGATTGATAGAATGGTGGAATGTCCTTTTGAAGTCACAATTACAACATCAACCAGGTGACAATACTTTTCAGGGCTGGGGCAATGTTCTCCAGAAGGCTGTGCATGCTCTGAATCAGCGTCTAATATAAGGTACTGTTTCTGCTATAGCCAAGATTTGTGGGTCCAGAAATCAAGGGGTATAAGTGGAAGTGGCACCACTTACCATCACCCCTAGTGACCTACCAGCAAAATTTTTGCTTCCTGTTTCCACAACACTATGTTCTGCTGGCCTAGAGGTCTTAGTTCCAGAGGAAGGAACGTTGCCACCGGGAGACAACAATGATTTCATTAAGCTGGAAGTTAAGATTGCCACCTGGCCATTTTGGGCTCCTCTTACCTCTAAGTCAACCAGCTAAGAAGGGAGTTACAGTGTTGGCTAGGGTGACTGACCTGGACTATCAAGATAAAATTAGTCTACTACTCCACAATGGAGGTAAGGAAGTATGTGTGGAATACAGGAGATCCCTTAGGGTGTCTCTTAGTATTACCATGCCCTATGATTAAGGTCAATGGGAAACTACAACAACCCAATCTGGGCAGGACTACAAATGGCCCAGACTAGGCCTTCTGGAATGAAGGTTTTGGTCACTCCACCAGGAAAAAAAAAAACACAACCTGCTGAGGTGCTTCCTGAAGGCAAAGGGAATACAGAATCGGTGGTAGAAGAAGGCTGTCATCAATACCAGCTACAACCATGTGATCAGTTGCAGAAATGAAGACCGTAATTGTCATGAGTATTTCCTCCTTCTTTTGTTAAGAACATGTTTGTGCATGTATACATTTGTAGTAAGAAAATATCTTCATTTTATTTTCTTTCTTTTTTCTTTACCATGTGACATAAGACCTATTAACTTCATATTAGCATTTAAGTGTTGTTAACTTTAGGTAATAGCATTTGTATAGGGGATTGGTGCATTTTGGGTTGTACAAAAAATAGCTGCATTATGTTAGGCATAATTTTGGCCTTTTGTCTTTATTTTCTTTATTTGAAAATCATGTATGACTTCAGGAGATGTGTGTGGGTTCAGGTTGACAAGGGGTGGACTCTTGATGGTTAATATTGAATGTTAACTTGATTGGATTGAAGGATGCAAAATATCATTCCTGGATGTGACTATGAAGGGGTTGCCAAGGGAGATTAACATTTGAGTCAGTGGACTGGGAAAGGCAGACCCACCCTCAATCTGGGAGAGCACAATCTACTCAGCTGCCAGTGTGGCCAGAATAAAAGTAGGCAGAAGAACATAGAAACACTAGACTGGTTTAGTCTCTGGCCTACATCTTTCTCTCGTGCTGCATGTTTCCTACCCTCAAACATCAGATTTCAAGTTCTTCAGCTTTGGGACTCAAACTGGCTTCATTGCCCCTCAGCTTACAGATGGCCTATTGTGGGACCTCTCCTTGTGATTGTGTGACTCAATACTCCCTAATAAACTTCCTTTTATATATATACACATCTATCCTATTAGTTATGTCCCTCTAGAGAACCCTGACTAATACACTCTCCTTCAAATCTTTCACTTCCGCTGTACACGAGTGAAGGGGAGCAAAAATTAAGCTCTATTATAAAACTCTAAACTGTCTCATTCTCAGTTTTGGAAATAAATGGAAACCCTATAATGCTAGAATAGATTCCTTGATTCTAACATAAACCCGCCTCATAAATTTTATTTTTCTTTTGTCAATAGGTAAGACTTGGTATTTTATTCTCAATTTTACTTTCAATTTGCATCAAAACTCTCTTGTGTTTTCTCTTGGGAAAAGGTTTTTAAACTTAAATTCCAATTCTAATTTTAATTTAATATTAATCATAGTCACTGTTATTAAACTTATGAAACAAAATGTATCAAATAACAATTTAATTTTCTAAGGTAACAATTTCCTGAGATTTGATAGTCAGTAGACTCTATATTAGAAACTGCCTGTTTACCAGCCACATCTCTTTTTCCTTGCTAACTAAACCATCATTTTCTTCAGTTTTTCCTGAGCTAAAAGGTAGTGTAGACTCCTCCCAGCTACAGAGGTAAATCTTAATCAGTCTAAGCCAGTAATGGCAAGTCCATTACCCTTACTGATAGTTGATTTGGGCATATGTATATAAAATATTTATCAAAAATGAGATGTGTCTACCATCTCCCCTCTGGTATAGTCTGCTAGCAGTCCTTGATGAAATCCTTACACCACCAAATTAAACAATTCTGGAAATGATAAGCCCCTAATCTTGTTGTGAAACAATCAGTGCTTTCATTGCTTAAGTCATTCCAGTTTGGGTCTTTGGCAATGTGTTGCTGTAATATATCCTAACTGACTTATATAAAGTATTTAATCGCCTAGCTTTAAGTTTTATATTATTATTACTATTTTAAATATGAGAAAATTGAGTTTAAAAAGGTTAGATACCATTCTCAAATTTACAGAATTACAAGATAGAATTAGAATAAAATTGCAAAGATCAGGGTATTTACACCTCTATTATGTTATATCCAATTATATCAAAAAATACCCTGCTTACCATCACTGACCCCCAAATTGTGTACGCAACATACACAAAAATGGGATGTTCTTCATAAGAACTAAATGCAACACACATCATTATTATTCCCATGCTAAGGCTCATCAAGGCAATCAGAATCCGCACAACCTAGAAATGATGAAAGCAAAAACTGATTATCCACCACAAAAATGGTGCTTATGCCACTCCCTTTCCAATCACTAAGCTATCCTTATTCTTTTTCATTTGATATAGTCATATGACCTTGATATTCTGTTGTCACTCTTTTTTTCACATAAAGAACCATGAATATTATCTTACCAATATTATCTCTCAGCATCTCTACCACTGTCAATCATTTCACGGTTAAAAGGAGTATGCCAGAACCAGCCCAGAGGTGCTTTTCTGATACCTAGGATGCTACTTCTACCGCAACTGTTTCTCTCTTTTGTCACACACTCAGAGAAAAGTGGCCAAGGAATTAGAAAGCAATTATTGTAGCAAGGGGAAGTAACCTGAAGAAAAAGGAGTGTATACAAGGGAAGAAAAAAAGAAGAGCAAATCTGATGTTTTCTTGACGTCTGGGCCTGAGGACATGAACATGAGTAAACAGCGTTCTTAAAATAGGAGCTGGAGTACAATTATCTCATGGCATTATAAATGGGTCAAAAAATTAAAACAACTTATCAAAATTTATGGGATGTAGTGAAAGCAGTGCTTAGAAAAAATTTATAACATTGAATGAATATATTAGAAAATAATGATCAAAATCAATCACCTGAGAGTCTACCTTAAGAAACTGGAAAAAGAAAAGCAAATTAAACTCCAAGTAAGCGGAAGAAAAAAAAGTAATAGAAATTAGAGCAGAAATCATAAAATTAAAAACAGAAAATTAATAGACAAACTCAATGAAATCCAATGCTTTTTTTTAAAAAAAAGAAAAATACATAAATAAAATCAATAAGCCTTTAGCCAGTCTAAGAGAAAGAGAGAGAGGACACAGATTACTCATAAGTGAAAGGGGGAATATCACTACAGTTCCCATAGTAATTAAAAGGATAATAAAATAACTCTACGAACAATTCTGTGCCCACAATTTGATAACCTTGAGCCAATGAATTGCTCCTTAAAGACAATTTGTCAAAATTCACACAAGAAGAAATAGGCACTCTGAATAAGCCTATAATTATTAAATAAATAAAATAAATAATTAATTAATTTTCAAAACAGAAAGCACCAGGCCTGGAAAGGTTTGGAATTCTACCAAACACTTGAAAATGAAATTATACCAATTCTTTACAGAAAACAGAAAAAGAGGAAATACTCCCTAACTCATTCTATGGAGCTAGCACTATTATCTACCAAAAAAAAAAGTCAAAAACATTACAAGAAAAGAAAACTGCAGACCAACATCTCTGGTGAACAAAGATGCAAAAATTCCCAACAAAACATGTGCAAACTAAATCTAATAGTGTATCAAAAGAATTATATACCATAACCATATGGGATTTATCCCAGATATGCAAGGCTGACTAGACATTCAAAAATCAATGAATGTAACTAATGACATCAACAGGCTAAAAGGAAGAAAAATCACATGATTATATCAACAGATGCAGGAAAAATATTGAGCAAAATCCAATGCCTGTTTATTATAAAAACTTTTGAAAAACTATTAATAGAGGATAACTTGTTTAGGTTGATAAAGAATATTTATTAATAAAACTACAGCTAACTTCATACTTAATGGAGAAATTCAAAGCTTTCTCACTAAGATCAGGACCAAGGCAGGGATAAGCCTGTCACTACTCCTTTTACCATTTACTGGAAGTCATAGCTGAAATGGTAAGACAAGAAAAGGAAATAAAGGTATACAATTGGTAAGGAAAAAAATAAAACTGCTTTTATTCACAGATGACGTGATTGTCTGTGTAGAATATCTGAAAGAATCAACCAAAAACTCCTGGAATTAACAAATGATTATATTAAGGTTGTAGGATACAAGCTTAATACACAAGAGTCAATTACTTTCTTATGTACTTATAGTAAATAAGTGAAATTTGAAATTAAAAATGCAATACTATTTAAATTAGCAACCCTAAAAATTAAATATTTAGGTATTGGTATTTGGTGTTTGTTAGGCATAAATCTAACAAACTATGTACAAAATCTATAAGAGAAACTTAAAAAAAAATAAGTCGAATAACTAAATAAATGGAGAGATATTCCATGTCCATGGATAGGAAGACTCAACATTGTCAAGACATCAGTTCTTCCCAATTTAATCTGTAGATTTAATGCAATCTCCCTCAAAATATTAGCAAATGGCCGGGCGTGGTGGCTCACCCCTGTAATCCCAGCACTTTGGGAGGCCGAAGCGGGCGGATCACGAGGTCAGGAGATTGAGACCATCCTGGCTAACATGGTGAAACCCCATCTCTACTAAAAATACAAAAAGTTAGCCAGGCATAGTGGCAGGCGCCTGTAGTCCCAGCTACTCCAGAGGCTGAGGCAGGAGAATGGTGTGAACCCGGGAGGCAGAGCTTGCAGTGAGCTGAGATTGGGCCACTGCACTCCAGCCTGGGTGACAGCGCCAGACTCCATCTCAAAATATATATATATATATTAGCAAATTATTTGTGTATATTGATAAACTGACTCTAAAGTTTATAGGGAAAGGCAAAAGACTTAGAATAACAAAAACAATCTTGAAGAAGAAGGAGTTTTAGGAGTAACACTACCCATCTTTAGGACAAACTATAAAGTGATAGTAATCAGGACTGTGTGATATTGGCAAAGAAATAGACAAATAGATCAAGGGAATAGAATAGAAAGCCTAGAAATAGACACAGAAGTATAGTCAAGTGATCTTTGATAAAGAACTAAGATAATACAATTAGAAGAATAGTCTTTCCAAAAAAAAAATACTACTTAAAAAACTGGACCTCCATAGGCAAAAATTGAACTTAGACACATACCTTGTATCCTTCACAAAAATTAACTCAAAATAAATCACAGACCCAAATGTTGAACTCAAAACTCTGAAACTCTTAACAGATGACATAGGCCAAAATCTAGATGACCTTGGTTTTGGTGATGAGTTTGTCAATACAATACCAAAGGCACAACCCATGAAATACCGAATTAATCATCTTAATTTTATTAAAATTAAAAAATTCTGCTCTGCAGAAGACACTGTCAGAAGAAAAGATAAACCACAGACTGACAGAAGGTATTTGCAAAAAACATACCTGACAAAGGATTGTTATTCAAAATATACAACGAAATTCAAACTCAACATTAAGAATACTAACATCCCAATTAAAAAAATGTGTCAAAAACTTTAATAAGACACCTCAAGAAAGAAGATATGGAGATGGTAAATAAACATATAAAAAGATGCCCCACATCTTATGTCACCAGGGAAATGAAAATTAAAATGGTAATGAGATTGGACTACACACCTATTAGAATGGTAAAAAATCCAGAACATTGAGGAAATCAAATGCTAGCAATTATGTAGAACAGCAGGAACTCTCCTTCATTGTTGACTGAAATCTTCAAAATTGCAAAGTAACAGGGAAGACAGTTTGGCAGTTTCTTACAAAACTAAACATACTCTTACAATACAATATAGTAATCATACTTACCCGAATGAGTTGAAAACTTATGTCCACACAAAACCTGCACACAGATATTTATAGCAACGTTACTCCTAATTGCCAAAGTTTGGAAGCCATCAAGATGTCCTTCTGTAGGTGAATGCATAAATAAACTGTGGTACCTCTAGACAATGAAATATTATTCAGTACTAAAAATAAATGAGCTATTAAGCCATAAGAAAACATAGAGGAAATTTAAATGCATGTTATTAGGTGAAGGAAGGCAGTCTTTAAAAACTACCTAATTTATAATGTTAACTGTATGACTTTCTGGAAAAGGCAAACTATGAAGACGATAGAAGATTAGTGATTGCCAGGGATTGGTGGGATACTGTATGATACTATAAAGGTAGATTCATATCACTATGCCTTTGTTAAAGCCCATAGAACACACAACACAGAGAATGAACCCCATTGTGATTTGTGTACTTTGAGTAATGATGTGTCAACATAGGTTCATCAACTGGAACAAATGTCCCACTCTGGTGGGGGAAGTTGATAATTGAAAAGCTATGCATGTGTCGGGGCAAGGGGCATATGGGATATACCTGTACTTTGCTCTCAATTGTTCTTTAAGCCTAAAACTGCTCTAAAACATACAGTATATTTTAAAATAATTATCCATACATTTAAAAATTGAACCTAGTATGTGCCAACATAAATAACATATTTTATGAGAAGTAACTATATTTCTCTCCAAAAAAATGAATAATGCAAAAAAAGAGAAGGAATCCAAAGAATCCACAGTGACATTTTCTCAGTGGTTTGAAGCTTGGGCTAGTGATAAACCTATATTTAATGTTCTTTCACCTTCCCTAACCTGTCACTGTTTTAATTCTATATTGTTTTTAGACACGTTCGCCTGAGACTCCAGAAGGAAATGCTCAGAGAATAGCAGATTTTTCATCCTCTGAGCAGTAGGCTAAGAAAAGCTGCAAGAAAGAAAGAGTAGCAATATACATCTATCAGCTGTCAGGAAGGCCTGTGGAGGGGGAGTCAGCTAGTGGACAGGTGGGCCTTTTCTTTTGCCGTTCTTCTATATTGAAGTTAAATATAATTATCATGGCTGACCCACAACCCTAGAATAGATCTGAAGTCAATATATTTTAAATATAATTAATTTGGAAGCAGGATGTGATAGAATATTATATATTTTTTCAAAGAAAGGGCCTGAAATTAAATTCTGATGTTACTAGGGCTGGTTGATGTATTATGAGGCTAGCGGGACAGTGTATTGGGCATTAGCTCTGATCAAATGTGAGTTTACAACACTATTGGTCTTCTCCCAGATTTGCAATTGACTTACCCCAAGGACTTTGGGTTTCCTCTTGAAGAACTTCTCTTGCAATCCTTTACACAGATATGAATGTATGACATCTATGTTTCCCAGCTGGGGCACATCAGGGCCAGCCCCTGGAGTGGTCTGTTCCATTCCTTGCATGGTTGTCATGGCAGCAGAAAAGGTGCTACAATAAGAAATGTAATTTAGGATGAGGTCCTGGAAATGACAAAAGAAAGTCTTGACACTTTGGGGCAGATTCCTCCCTAAGGACAAAACCTGGTCTACATTCCCCTCCAATATTATAACAGTTGTTAGAGCTAGGGAAGTGGAAGAGGCAACACATTAAGTGGGGGGTGGAGAGAGAGAGAGAGAGACTTAAATGTTATATGATATCAATAATATGCTAGGAGAGAGGACATGTTGACAGAAGTGAGGTAAATTAGAGAAATTTCTTCAACTTCAAATCCCAAGTCTGCTCAGATTTTATTTCTATCCCTTTTAATGCCTAGTCTCTTGATTACAGCCACTTCCCCATGAAGGATTACTTTTATAATAGTAATAAGCTACACAAATTCATCTGCCTTCCAATTTATTGTACAGTATTGTATAGTTCCTCCTTTTATAACCAAAGCACAGCTAAATTCTCAGGGCTGAAAATCTTCCCATGTAACCTTGTATTTTGTCCCATAAGCTCTGAACTCTGGGAATGAAACTTACAGCTCTGAGTCATATTCTTGGCACCACAAATTTAAATCTCTTTTCCTATTACAGTGCTTTAAATTCTAACTTGCTGGTGCATAGCAAGAATACATAAAGCCATTTTTTGAAATTCCAAGCACAAAGATATTACTTTTATGCCTCTGTCTCTCCTCAGTATAATGATTCCAACCAAGTAATGTGGAGATAGGCTAAAGCCACATGGAAATTTTTACCTATGTATTTGAATTGATATTCAGATGTTTCATGGCCCACTTCCATAAAATTTTAGGGAAGTGAAGCTTGCTAATATCCTTCAAGTCATAGTTGATTTCAGTGGAGCATATATGCTAAAAACTGTCAGGTTTGGAGATGTGTGCCCTTTTATTGGTAACATAAATGAAAAAAAAAGTTATTGTAGTCCAAATTTGCTATGTACAGAAAAAATTCAGATTTCTGTGGAAATAATTGTCATCGTGTATTTATCTCTGATAGATCAATGAAAATACATTATTAGCTATCTAGCAATAAAATTGATTAAAGTTGGGAGAAGGAGGGTGAATTTCAGAGAAAGCTAGAGGGGAAAAGTTAAAATGAAAATAAAAGATTAATCATTTAGAGCATTAATTTTAGTAATGTATACATTCAAAATTATGAAAAGCAGTAAAATAAAAAGTACAAAATTACAAATTATAAAATAAGAAGTTAAGTATTTTTAAAAGAAAGATAAATATAATTAATAATAAGAAATAAATAATGTAAATGTGATTGAAGTAGTTAAGATAAGGACTTAAATGTAAGAATGTAACCAAAAAGTCAATGTTCTTATTCTTATCTCATCTAGAAAAGTTCCAAAAACAATTTGGACAAACAGAATTAGAACTCCATTTTGTTATGAAAGTGGGAAACAACTAAAATCTCTATAAGTCAGGTGAAATGAGTGTTAAAAACAAAGATTGCATAAGGATAAATTTGGGGGAAAATGTAGAAACAGTATCAAAGAAACAGGACACTATGGTCACAGATTTCAGATTATACTTATCAAAGATAAGAGTCTCCTTGAGGTGTACAGCATAAATTATTGATCATAATCCTAGAAATTAAATGCATCAGCTGATACCTATCACTTCCCTGGAGAATTATAGTTCTGAGAACTATCAAAGTTAGTAGTAAAGGAGAAATCCCAACAAAAAGACATGCTTAGAAAGCAATTAGTCTCTGAATAAGTCTTACATTGGATTCCATAAAGAAGGAAGTAGATATGCTTGATACAAGCCTCCAAGAAGTCCCACAGATTAGGAGCATCTGGATATATATCACATATAGAATATGTAAAAAGTATGGATAATTTATTCAATTGAAAATGAAATCACAAAAATGAAAAGTTAAAGATAAAGTGCAAAAAGTGACACAATATGTTTGCAACATTGTCTCAAACAAATTTCAAATATAAAATAATGTTGACAGAAAAAATTTTGCCAATGTGTTAAATAACAAGGAATAGCTGAAAATAGAATTAGTCAACTGGAAAAAAATTGAAGAAATCACCAAGAATTCTACAGAAAAACAAGAAAATGGTCACAATAGAAGAAAGTTTAAAAGATTAGAAGTTTAGAATTAAAAGGTCTATAATATGTCTTCAGAATTCTAGAGAATGTCAGCAAGATGGCCAATTAGAAGTTACTAACCTCATCGCCATCAACACACACACACACACACACACACACACACACACACACCAAAAATGAATAAACAACTACATTCCAACCAAAATAACTAAGGAAGAGCTCCAGAAAACAGCAAAGGAGTAGCAGAAATCTTGTAGAGCACAGAAACCCAGAATGGCTGCAGGAAGAAGGAGAGAAAACACCTTTCTTCCATCACCCCTTCCCCCAGTTAGAACCAGCTCTGAGTCAGGAGGGCCTTCTTCCTACAGGGAAAAGGTTAGTGACAGGATCCCAGCAGCTCCCATCACCACCATAGACACCTGCAGTCTTACTACTGGAGACACATAGAGTCTTTACAGGCTCTGAGCTCAGCTGACAGAGCTACCTGAAGTCCACATGTCTGTTCTATCCCAGAGGAGGAGCTGACACTGTGCCCTGGCCCCCATGGCCTGAGTTGCTACTGTGCTGCCCCTTCTTGGAACTGAATCACTGGCTAGAGTGCATTCTGCTTCAGGAGTGAGTAGCCATTGCACCCCTCCATCTCTGAGACTTAACCACCACTACACTATGCACACGTGGAAGCCATTCCTGAGCCAAACTGCCGCTATCTACTCTCTACTCCCTGAGGCCAGGCTCCCATGGAACTGCTCCATGCCCCCATCTTAGTCGCTGGTGCACCCTGCCCCTCCAAACTCAAGTTGAAACTGTGCTCCACTCTCTGGGCACCCATAGCTTTGATTGAGCTACGTCACCCCACCATCCAGGCAAAATAGCTGCAGTGCCCCACCTCCCCGGAACTGACCTGTCCCCTGGAGTCCAAGCTTCTGAGAAACCCTGACTCCCCAGGGGGTCATTTCTGCACCTGCTCCAAGAAACCCAAGGAAAAAGCTACAGACAGGCCTAGTCATTCCTGAGGCCTTGCTGCTGCTACATCCAGCCTTACACAGCCTGGGATATTGCCATGCCCTACCATCCCAGGGTCTAGAGTTAACACTATGTGGCACTCCATTCCCCAGGGTTGGAATTGCTGCTATGCCCGATTGTCTCTGGAACCAAAATTTCAACAGTAACCTGCTCCCCAGAGCTCAAGCCTCCAAAGCACCCCTCTTTCCCTGGAGCCTTGATGATGTTGTGCACTGACCCCAGAATCAGTCTCAATTCCATCCCTGCTCCATGGGCTTGAGTTACTGAGGTGTGCTTTAGAGTTACAGCCTTAGCTTTGTGGGTAACCTGCATCCAGCCACAACTGGGTGAGTGAACCTGTGCCATATGCCACAGCAGTTTTGCAAAACCCTGAGCCTAGGACCTCAGCTCGCACTGCCACTATGCCTGGAATACCTGTGCCTGGAAGGCACAAGCTGTAAACCTTGGTGGAATCCATGTGTACAGGCTCACAGACTGCAAGAGATGTAGGGGCATGGCTTTCTCCACCTAGGATCAAAGAATATCACATATAGCTATGGGAGTGGAGCCACTTCTAAGAGCCTCTATTAGGGCAAAGCTGAGTGGGAATGCGGAGTCAGAGCCAACACAGAGAGTCCCAATTAGGGATATGCCTAGTGGAGCCTTGGGAGTGGGGCTACCTTTGAGATCTCAGAACTATAAGGCCACTAGCATGCAACTCCAACCTAACAGAGCTGAAGCACGGACTGAGTCCAGCAAAGATATGGGAGCAGGGTCATGTCTGAGGGCCCCAATCAGCACTCCCAGGATTCAGGACATGGAGTCAAAGGAAATTATTCTCCAGATTTAAAACATAATTCTGTTTTCTCTGTTGGATTTTGGACTCACTTGAAACCAGTTATGCCTTTTTCTTGCCTGGCTCTCTCTTTTGAACTGAGACAGTCTATTCTATACCTATCTCACCATTATATTTTGGAAACAAATCACTGGTTTTGATTTCACAGGCTCACAGCTGGAAACATTTGCCTCCAGATAAGTCATACCTTGAATCTCATCCATATCTGCTTCTGATGACTCTGGACTTAGAACTTTAGACTTGATGCTAGAATGGGTAAAAACTTTTGAGGCTATTGAAACAGAATTATTGTATTTTGTATGTGAGAAGAACATGAGTTTTGGAGGGTCGTGGATGAAATGCTATGATTTCACTGTCCCCTCTAAAACTCATGTGAAAACTTAATTGCCATTGTAACAGTTTTAAGAGGTGTGACCTTTCAGAGGTAATTACACCCAGAGACCTTCATCCTCGTGAATGGATAAATGTCATTATCATGGGAGAGGGTAAGCTATGGCAGGAGTGGACTCCTGATAAAGAATAAATTTGGCCCCATCTCTCTCTCTTTGCTTTGTGCACTCACTTCCATCTTTTTCCATGGGATCACCCTCACCAGAGGTTTATGTCATACATGCCCTTAGACTTCCCAGCCTCTAGAACTATAAGAACTGTAGAACTGCAGCAGATACATGAAAGATAAAAAAAATTAAAAGCTTAGTACTTCATAAAATTACCTAACCACAAAGGGAGACAAGAGATGAAGAAATAAACAAATATCTACAAAAACAACCCCCCCCCCCAAAATAACAAAATGGCACTACTAACTACTTACCTATTAATAATAACCTTAAATATAAAGGAATTAAATTCTTCAATCACAGAGTGGCTGAATTTAAAAAAAAAAACAGATCTATATGCTATAAGAGTCTCACTTTAGCTTTAAGAAAAAACACAGGCTGAAAGTGAAGGGATGAAATACTCCATGCAAATAGTAGTCAAAGGAGAAGGACTGCCTGTACTTAGGTCAGATAAAATAAACTTCTAATCAAAAACTGTCAAAAGAGGCAAAGAAGGTCATCATTTAATGAGCAATTGAGCATACAGTGTAGGTAACAGAAGGCATTAATGACAAACTACCAGAAGTTTTTGAGACAGGGTCTCACTCTATCACACAAGCTGGAGTGCAGTGGCGTTATCATGACTCACTGCAGCCTTGACCTCAGCCTCCAAAGTAGCTGGGATTACAGGTGCACACCAGCACACCCAGCTAATTTTTGTGCTTTTTGTAGAGACAGAGTTTTGCCATGTTGCCCAGGCTGTTCTCAAATTCACAGGGTCAAGCAATCTTCTTACCTCAGCCTCCCATAGTGCTTGGATTATAGGTGTGAGCCACAGTGACTGATCTTAAACCTCCAGATTTTTAACACGGACAAAGTAATTAATTGTTGGGCTTTCAACAGGGAAAGGACACTTGCAGTTTCATAGCCTTCTTAGGGTTCCTGTTCCCTTTAGATCTTGCCACTCTTGATTAGCGACTACTTGTAGGGTTGTGAAATAATCTCCACATACTGTCCCTTGCACCACCTTACTTTTTTGAAAGAGAAATTTTGAGGAAGACTGGATATCTTCTATTTAGGTATTCAAATGTTTGAAATAAATTGTCTCCCTTCCGGGACAAGTTGGTAAATGATCAAACTATGGGCTTTTTTGTAATGACTTTAAGCCCAGAGGAGGACAATTCTCCCAAGTTTAACAAAATTGGAAGGTATGTATTAAATTTAAGACCAAAAATAAGGCCTGCTATTTTATTTTATCTCTTTGCTCTATATCTAAAATTTGTGTTCTGCTCACAGGATGCTAAAGTCTACATATAGGTCTCAATATACCTAAATAGAACGGTATTAGTTACATTTAGGTCTTACATTTTGGTTTTTGCTCCACTTTGAGCTGTTTTGTTTGGTGTAAGAAAGTGTCCAACTTCATTCTTTTGCATGTGAATCTGAAGTTGTTCAAACATGATTTGCTAAACAGACTATTCTTTTCTCACTTAGTAGTTGTGTTATCCTTGTCAAAAATCAACTAGTCATAAATATAGAGGTTTATTTCTAGATGATTCTATTCCATCCCATTTTTATTTTTAGACAATTTTATTCAATTCTATTCCATTGTTCTATATGTCTGTCCTTATGCCAATACCACACTGTCTTAAAATTATAGCTTCGTAGTAAGTTTTGAATTGGAAAGTGTAAGTGCACCAAACTATTTTTCTCTTTCAAAATTGTTTGGACTATTCTGAGTCCCTTGTATTTCCATATGATTTTGGAATTAGCTTGCAAATTTCTGAAATAAGGTTGCTTGAATTTTTTATAAAGATTGTGTTGAATCTGTAGGTCAATTTGAATAATATTACCATCTTACCAATATTAAGCCTTCCAGTTCCTGAATATGAGTTTTTTTTCATTTGTTTAAATTTTCTTTAATTTCTTTTAACATTTTGTAGTATTCGATGTACAAGTCTTGTGCTTATTTTGATAAATTTTGTTCTATTTGAAACTATTGTAAAGGAGATTGTTGTCTTAATTTCATTTTTAAATTATTCAGTGCTAGCATATAGAACTCCAATTTATTTTTGTATGTATATATATTTAATTTAACTTTTATTTTAACTTCAGGGGTACATGTGCAGGTTGGTCATACAGGTATTGTGTCATAGGGTTTGATTTACAGATTATTTTATCATCCAGGTTTTTTTTTTTTTTAAATTTTGAAACCGAGTCTTGCTCTGTCACCCAGGCTGGAGTGCAGTGGTGTGATCTCAGCTCACTACAACCTCCGCCTCCAGGGTTCAAGCAATTCTCCTGCCTCAGCCTCCCGAATACCTGGGACTACAGGCATGCACCACCACGCCCGGCTAATTTTTGTATTTTTAGTAGAGATGGGTTTCACCATGTTGGCCAGGCTGGTCCTGAACTCCTGACCTCAGGTGATCCATCCACCTCAGCCTTCCAAAGTTCTGGGATTATAGGCATGAGCCACTGCGCCCAACCATATCACCCATGTTTTAAGCCTAGTACCTATAATTTATTTTTTCTGCTCCTCTCCCTTTTCCCAGCCTCCACCCTCTAATAAGCCCCAGTGTGTGTTGTTCCCCTTTATGTGCCCATGTGTTCTCATCATCTAGCTCCACTTATAAGTGAGAACATGCAGTATTTGGTTTTCTGTTCCTGTGTTAGTTTACTAAGGATAATGGCCTCCAGCTCTATCCATGTTCCTGCAATGAACATGATCTTGTTCTTTTTTTATGGCTGCATAGCATTTCATGGTGTATATATACCACATTTTCTTTATCCAGCCTACTATTGATGGGCATTTAAGTTGATTCCATGTCTTTGCTACTGTGAATAGTGCAGCAATGAACATATGTGTGCATGTGTCTTTAAAATAGAATGATTTCTATTCCTTTGGGTATATACCCACGGTGGGATTGATGGGTTGAATGGTATTTCTGTTTTTAGGTTTTTGAGGAATCACCACAGTGTTCCACAGTGGTTAAACTAATTTACACTCACACCAACAGTGTATTAATATTTCTTTTTCTCCATAACCTCGTTAGTATCTGTTATTTTTATTTTTTTGACTTTTTGTTAATAGTCATTCTGATTGGTGTAAGGGGGCATTTCATTATGGTTTTCACTTGTATTTCTCTAATGATCAGTGATGTTGAGTATTTTTTCATATGACTGTTGGCCGCATGTACATCTTATTTTGAAGTGTCTGTTCATTTGTGTATATTATTTGTATCCTTCAAGCTTGCTTAACTCATTCATTAATTCTAATAGCTTTTTATTTGGTAGGGGAGTGATTCCATTCTATTCGTCATTGGATGAGTATTTTTATCATAAAAAGTATTGGATTTTGTTAATTTTTTAATCTATTGAGGCATTCGTGGTGGCTTTTTGCGGTTTTTGTCTTTTATTCTATTAATGCATTATGTAACACTGATTTTTTGAATGCTAAATTTTATATTCTTGAGATTAATCTGACTTTGTCCTCATATATAATCTTTTTTACATGTTGCCGAATTCTGCTTGCTAATTTTTTTTTAGCATTTGTGTCTGTATTCATGAGAGACATTCATATGTAGTTTTGTTCGCTTATGTTGTCTTTTCTTGATTTTGGTGTCAAAATAATACTAGCCTTATGTAATAAGTTTGGAATTGTTCCCTTCTCTTCTAGTTTTTGATGGAAGGGTATTAATTCTTTTTAAAATGTTTAGTAAAATTCACCAGTGAAATCACAGGAGCCTGGGCTTTCCTTTATAAAAGTTTTTAAAATTCCTCATTTAATCTCTTATTACAGATCTATTCAGATTTTGTATTTCTTCTTATTTTTGTATTTCTTCTTCAGTCAGTTTTAGTAGTATCTTCATAAAAATTTGACCATTTCATATGTTATCTGATTTATTTGGATATAATTTTATAGTATCCCTTATAATTTCTTTAATTCTGTAAGTTTGGTAATTATGCTGCCTCTTTCATTCCTGATTTTAGTGATTTCTTCTTGTAATTTTTGTCATTCAATATAGCTAAAGGTTTTTCAAATTTGTTGATCGTTGCAAGAATGAACTTTGGGTTTTGTTGATTTACTCTAATGTGTTTCTACTCTCTATTATTTTCACTCTAGTCTTTATTATTTCTTTTCTACAAGTTGTTTCCATTTAGTTTGTTCTTCTTTTTCCAGTTTATTAAGGTGGAAGATTAGATTACTGAGCCCTATAGATTCACATCCAAATTCTAACACATGTACAAAGAAGTGTTTATACCACAGAAGAGCTAATAAATACCAAAGAGCTAATCCTACTGAAACTATTCCTAAAACATAAGGAGGATTCCTCCCTAACTGATTCTTTGCAAAATGTCAACCATGAACCAGCCTTACGACCTATCCCTTCCATTCCCAGATACATACAAAGAGAAATAAAAACATATGTCCACACAAAAACTTGTAAAATGAATTTTCCTAGCAGTATTACCTATAATAGTCAAAAGGTGCAAACAACCCAAATGTCCAACAACTGAGGAATGAATAAATGTGCAAATAAAAGAGTTCTTCTATTCGCCAGACTAGTGTAGTGGATCCTCTTAAGCAAACGAGTTCTGGAATTAAATTACCCGGATTTAAATTTTGGCCCTGCCACTCCTTACTCAAGTTAATTAATCTTGTGTTTCTGTAACTCTACTCTGTGAATAATACAGCATATCTCGTAGAGAAATTTAATGATGAAATAGCACAGGTAAACATTTAAACCAGTTCATGTCACTTAATAAATACTAACTACCTATTGACTATTATTATTGGTCTTCCTACTATCACTTACTCATTTCTGGCTTGAAGTATAAAACATAAATTTCCTCTAACACTTCCTACCACTCAAGGACATGCTAAAGAGGGGCTTTATTCCTGGCATGACCCTGCTCCAACCTGTCCTGTCTTGGGGGAAGTGAAAAAGCAGAAAGGAGGGGTCTATATAACTGGTGAGAGCATGTTATTCATGGTACCGTGTTGTCAGAGGTTGACTCTTCCTCTCTTTTGCAGTTTGTCTCAAAGATTGGTCAGAAGAGTCAGGGTTGTGCTTGTTTTTGCTCTCATGGACTAGGTAGATACAAGACTATGTAGAGGTGGGCCAAGAGGCCCTCCTCTTCCTCTTGTAATCTCTGTTCTAATGATAATGGAGTTTATGAGGTGACTTACATTTACATTTTATTGAGTAGGTATAATCAAACCTATAAGTAGACTTCAGCATCCCCTGAACAGAATACAAAATTTAGATTTGGAGCAAACGAATAAAATAAAATAGCAGGCCTTATTTTTGGTCTTAAACTGAATCCATACCCTCAAATTTTGCTGAACTTGAGAGAATTGTCCCCCTCTGGGGTTAATTTTGAAGTCACTATAATAAAGCCCATAATTTGATCATTTATCAAATTGTTCCAGCAAAGAGAAGAGGTAATTTTTATTTCAAACATTAGAAGACCAAATTAGAAGATATTCAGTCTTCCTCAAAATTTATCTTTCAGATAAAGGAAGGTGGCACAAGGAATATTATGTGGAGATTACTTCAGAACACTACAAGCAGTCCCTAATCAAGAGAGGCAAGAGCTAAAGGTAACAGGAATGCTAAGAGGGCTATGCGACTGCAAATGTCCTTTCTTGGTAGAAGGCCCAACAATTAGCTCAGTTGTCTGTGTTAAATGTCTGGTAGTTTGTCATTGATACCTTCCGTTACATACCTTCTATGCTCCATCAATCATATTCTAATTCTACGCAACCATTTTTTAACTCTGTATTTCTCCCATCTCCTCGTGCCAAGCCATCATCCTATTTTTATCAGGAGTATTGCTTACAGCCTCTGAATGTTCCCCGGTGTCCATTTGTAGCCTTGGATGTTCAACCCACCCCTGACTTTGTAGCCAAATGATCAAATGCAAAGACAACTGTGTCACCCTCCCCTTTAAAGTCCTTTCTTTGCATTTCACCACCTTTAGTATAAAGATAAAAATTTAATGTTGTTGATATTGCTGCTACTTCAACCCATATCTATTATCGTAGCCTTACCTTGAATTTCTCCTTTTTATTTTTTAAAGCCCCAAGTATATTGGACTTATTTAAGTTGTTCTAAAGTAATTTCATTCCTATATTGAGACATTTGCATATGTTGAGCCCGTTTGCAGGAATGTTCCACTCCCCCGGCCATGACCACCTTACAAGAATAGCAACAAACCCACCACAGCATCTAATCTTCTCACACACTAACAGTTTTGCATAGTTTCTGTCTTCTCTCAGACACCATTCTCCTACAGCCCCCATTTCCCGCATGTGGATTACTCAACCTCTAGTGGTAACTAAGGATTTAAGAAATCTATGTTATTTTCCTTTTACACCACAGAAACCAAAGTTATTTTGAAAGAAACTGAAGATAATTCTTCTTAGTCCATCTAAATGTGTACTTTTTATTTATTTATTTATTTATTTATTTACTTATTTATTTATTTTGAGGCGGAGTCTCGCTCTGTTGCCCAGGCTGGCGTGCAGTGGTGCAATCTCGGCTCACTGCAAGCTCCGCCTCCCGGGTTCACGCCATTCTCCTGCCTCAGCCTCCAGAGTAGCTGGGGCTACCGGCGCCTGCCACCACGCCTGGCTAATTTTTTTGTATTTTTAGTAGAGAAGGGATTTCACCGTGTTAGCCAGGATGGTCTCGATCCTCTGACCTCGTGATCCACCCACCTGGGCCTCCCAAAGTGCTGGAATTACAGGCGTGAGCCACCGCACCCGGCCTATTCTTTAATGTAAGGGAAACTCGGCCTCAATCTCTCACGCACACCTTCAGACTGAGAATTTAGGACATGTTGGGTCTGTCTTATCAAACACACTTGGTAGTTCTCCCTCTGTGTTTAGTGCCTCTCGGGTAAGGCTGTAAGCTTCCTGAGGGCCGAGCCATTATATCAAATTAAGGCTTATAATTGACTCTTATGATTTTCCATAATTCTTTGGTAACATAGGTCAGGTTCTGGTCATTCAAGGCTGGTGCTCTGTCTTTATAAGACATTCTTGACATAAATTTATATAACTGCCTCCTATCTTTACACCACAGAAATCCATGTGTTAATTATCTAGGGTAGATAAGGTCCCCAAGGAAAGAAAGCGTGTGTTTACAAGACTCCACTTCTCTACAATCAAAATATATATTTTTTAACTGCAGAGAATATTGGATACATATGAGGGAGGGACATTTCTTTCAGGTTGGAGAAGAATCTAAACCTTGGTTTTGCCACATCACCTATATGCATCAGGTTCTTGACAACTACAATGTCTTCCCCGCCCCTCCTCCCCACCCCGGATAAAGAGGTGGGGTAACCTAGACCACCCTTCCCTCTTCTATTGGCCCCAGTCTCCTTGTGGATCAGCAGCACCAGCAGTCTCTTGTTTCCTCATTTTTATGTCACCATCCCCCTTATGGGTCACAACACAAGAGAGCATGAGGAGAGTGGTATACACGGTCATCCCCTTTTTCTTGGCAGAGTTATCAAATAGACTAGAAACCCAAAATGAGGCCTGAATCTGGATGGTTTTTAGGAGGATGATGGGGATGCAGAAATGGTGGCATGGGAAGGGAAAAGGGGGAAAGGCCTGGGCTAGGAACCAAGAATTCTGGGTTTTTTGCTCCTAGCCCTTTTGTTAACTTGTGTGATTCTAGGTACATTATTTCCCTTTTCTGGATTTCATTTACTTCATCTGGGGAAAGATTACAATGACTACGACTACTTACAAGCTTCTTTCTTATCCTAAGAATGCTAAAAGTCTACAAGATGTTTTTCATTTGCAGATTTTATCATGAGCAGCCTCAGTTTACTGCCTGGGTGCCACATGAATAGTGCCAAAGACCACTGGAGAACTACGTCAGGCCACAGCCCATCTAAATGTACAAGGCTGGGGACCCTGCCTGTGCCCTACTCCATGTACACCAAATTCTGCACGTGCTAGATCTTTTCTTAAGTCTTGAATTATAAAAATAACCAGTCAGAGACAAAGAATAAAGACCATGGAAGAAGTGCATTAACAGTAGATGAGGTAATTAATCAAAGTTTAAAATGTTGCTTACAGTGTTTTGGTATCCTGAGAACTTACGGAACAAAAGTAACTAAAACAACTTCATCCAGCCTCCAGTGTCAGCCTTTAGGAGGCTTTTCTAACTCCCATCAACTGTAGCGAAGACTGTTCCTCAACCACCCACAACCCTCACCAAATGCATATTTAAATGTGCACTCAATCCACCCCAACCCTGACTACCAGCTTGGGTCATGGGAAGTGACCTCATTTTTTTTTCTCACTCCACTCCCAGAAATCCTAAACCCAGGAAATGAAACAAACTATCAGTCCGAGAGCCTAGGAAGGCAAGTCCCTGGACCTACCTTTCTTCAGGCCTGCAATGTCTGCTGCAGGTCTGATGAGTGCAGGGCTCTGGGCAAGTTCCTCAAAGTTCTTTGTTCCAGACACAGTCAGCTTCCCCCACTCCACACCTCACTCAGTTTAAATCTGCACTCCTTTTCTAGTAGATGTTTGGAACCTTAAAGGATGTGTTGAGAACTTCTGAGACACACAACTAGTTCCTCTTTTTTATCGGAAGCATTAACTGATTTTGCGTTCCCAATATGGGTGTGGACGTTTATTTTGAAATTTGCTGAAAAAGCAGTGGCTGCCTGATACAGTCTTTCCTATGAAAATAATAGTGCTAATTACTGTGGGTATCAGTGGTGGAGGATTTTCTGTTTGCCAGACTCTGCTCAAAGATTGTTATATACACAACTAAGTAAATGGTAATTTATAAATGCCCCCTTTCACAATTTCACACATTTCCACAGTACTCTTCTTCCCAGAGAACTACTGTTACTATTGTATTAGGTTGGTGAAAAAGTAATTGTGCCTTAATATACACAACTTAAATATCTTATTTTCATGATATTTCACCTTTGGAGGTTCAACATGAATAGCCACAAAATGGGAACAAGTTGGTTGTACAGCAATAATTAATACAACACCTTTCTAAGTCAAAGAAGCAGCTGGTATCATAGAACAAGCTGGTCTTTGACTAAGACAAACCCAATGGCAATCATTTCTTGTATGACCTTGTTAATCCCCTGAACCTGATTCATTGGTAAAATAAAATAATGCCTTCTTTACATGGAGGAAAGCAAAGTGGCATGCAATTTTCATTCACTCAGCATTTTCTTAGAGAAAAGCTACTATAAGCCAAGCAGTGTGCCATGTGCTTCAGATAAAATGGTGAAAAATGATTTTCGCTCAAGGATTTTATAGGCTACTTGACAATATAGACAAGTAAATAAATCACCCATTATAATCAGTTACCTGCAAGGTAAAGTGGCAATGCTGATGAATAAATAAATCATTACAACCCATTATAATCAGTGATCTGCAAGGTAAAATTGGATATCCTGAGAGAGCTCATAGGAGGATCAAAGAACTCAACGTTGGGTAGGTAGGCAGAGGAGACTTCCTAGATAAAGGGACATCTAATTGGAGACCTGATGAATAAGCAAAAGACACACAAATGGAAGAAGGATGGAGCTAGGTAACATTATTATTCCCATTTTCCAGAAGATGGAACTGAAACTCAGAGATATTCATATAGCTGGTATAGATGAGATTGAAATCCAGTTTTGCCTAATCCCAAAAACTTTGTTGTCTATAATCTGAAATTATTTTAATTCTCAGAATTAAATGGGTTATATTTCAGAAATATTGTCCTGGTTTTCATGTAAAGCAACAATAGGAATAAATAATACTGAAATCAGGGAGTTAGGGTTAAGAAAGAGGCAGTTCTCTAGGGAAGGGATGATGGTTACTGAACTACCTATGATGCTAGTGAAGTTGGAGAGAATGAATGGATTTGAAAGATGTTTAGGAACGAGAAATGACAGTACTTGTTGATATAATGGATGTGTAAATCAGGAGAGAAAACAGGAAAGGATGGCGCTCAGATTCTGGGTTAGGAAACTGAATGAATGATAGAGCCATTCAGTAAGGCAATAGACATGGACCAAGACAGAACTGCAGGAACAAAGAGTAAGACTTGGAGCATATTTAATTTGAATTGTGTGGGCACCTTCAAATAAGGTTCACAAAAGTTGGATAACTGGCAGGAGCTAGGGAATGAGAACATGGCTGTAGAGGTAAACCCAACAGCTCTTCACCCAGAGGGATGAGGTTACCCAGGCTTGTGGGAGGAGGCAGAAAAAATCAGACCCTTTTTGCTAGAGAATAGAAACAGTATTATCAGAAATAAGGGTTTCCAGAGGATGGCAAAAAGAGATTAAAGAAGATAACAGGCAAACTAGGAAAATGTGGCATTACAGAAGACAAAGGTACAGAGTTTCATGACTTTATAAGAGAGGTTGAAATTCTAGACTAAGAACAGATGTCAATCTTACCTCCTCTTCCATATAGTGTGAAGTGAGATATTATTAGTGTTATTCTTAGCAGACAAGTGATTGAGGATTTATGGTGATATAAAGAACAATAAAATTGAAATTTGACAGAGAAACATAAATAGAATCACCCTACCTCTAAATAAGCATAGGACAAAACTAACTACTATACAAATAAAAGCAAATAAAAAAGAGCTCAAGTTCAGTGACAAAACAACAAGCAGCAGAGTAGGTCAGAGCCCAGAGCAGTTGTTAATTAATTTTTAAAATTATATTGGAAAAGCGGGGTCAGTTGTTCCTCTGTCCCTCACACAGGCATCACCTAACAAGGTAGTTTATCCCCAAACCAAAATATGAGAACTGTTTTATGAGCAAAAAACCAAACCAAAAAACTGTTTTAGGGTTCTGCTCTAGACAAGTATATAGAATGTGAGTGCCAGCTCTGAGTAAAAAACAGGAAAGAGACAAGAATTAAGGTCTAAGCTTCCATTCACAAGGTATAAAGGAAAAGCAAAAAGCAGAGAATATTATGGAATTGATTCCCAAATGAAAGTCCTGCGCTCACTCTTTAGAGCTGGGATCCTGATGATGAAGACACAGAGGTCACCTTAGTCTGGAGAAGGAAGGGGCTTTCTCTCAACTACATCACAACCAATCTGTATGTATAACCTGGCTTTATGCCCCCTCTTCTCTCACAGTCACCCGATGTAAGCTATGGTAAGCAAGACCTACATTCCCTGACATGATAGGAGAAATTACCAAATGAAAGTGTAAATGAACACTGAATATTTAAGAAAATCAATATCGTAAAACAGAGAAACCAAATACAACAAACAAATGAACAAACGAAAAATGTTTTCTATTTTTTTGATTGAAGGTTCTATATACCCCTTTATTGCATTATTTCTCCCTCTAATTAATTTTAGTACTTATAAAGTCTTTCATTGTGTGTTCTTGTAATCCTAAAAATTAAAGCATGTGTATTTAATTTATCAAATTCTAATAACATTTAGAACATTTATTTCCTCCAGGAAAGTCAATAGTGTGATGGTAGATTTAATCCCAAATATATAAATAAATACGTCATATGTAATAAAATACAAATATTTCAGATAAAATTTTAAAAGGTCAAAACTGAACTAATTACTGTTAAAAAGAAGTAAATTTTAATGCATACAAAAACTGTAAAGTACAAGGATGAGAAATGATGTATCGAGCAAACCTTAACCCAAAAAAAACTGATCAGAGAAAATTGACCTTAGAGCAAAATATGTTACTGATGAGCAAAGGGATTAATTTTTAATTATAAAAATAGTACAATCTTCAGAAAGATGTAATCATTTTAAGTGTGTATATATTTAATAACAGAACCTCTAAATATACATAGCAAAAGTTGACAACCCACAGAATATTAGATAATATTTTAATACATGTAATTAAGAAAGGATATATATCCAGAATACATAAAAAACCAGGGAACATTCAGAGGCTGTAAGCAATATTCTTGATAAAAATAAGATGATGGCTTGGCTTGAGGAGGTGGGAGAAATACAGAGTTAAAAAATGCTTGTGTAGGATTAGAATACGATTGATGGAGCATAGAGGGTATGTAACAGAAGGTATCAATGACAAACTACCAGACATTTAACACAGACAATTGAGCTAACTGTTGGGCCTTCTACCAAGAAAAGACACTTGCAGTCCCATAGCCCTCCTAGGGTTCCTGATTCCTTTAGCTCTTGCCTCTCTTGATTAGGGACTGTTGTAGGGTTCTGAAATAATCTCCACATAATATTCCTTGTGCCACCTTCCTACCCAGCATTTCCACTTCTGCCTGGACTTGGCCAGTAGCCATAGCCTACTCTTGTCCCAGAAAGCACCCAGACAAGAAGGACAAGCAATGCACCCACCCCCCGACACTGGTAGCCGGGCAGGCAATGCTTGCTAGAGCTTCCAGACCAGTAGTCCTTCTTATATGTGAACTCAGCCAGAAATTGCAGTCTTTAGGTGTGCCAGAGGGCACAGCCTCCTGTAATCAGAAAACACCCTGACAGCAGGGCAGGTGATGCAACCCAACCCTGCCACTGGTAGCCTGGTGGGCAATGCCTGCTAGAGTTCTGGCCTAGTGGTCCTACTTCTCTGTGAACTGAGCCAGCAGGTGCAGCCTCCTGTTTCCCTGGGAAGCATCCAGATGCCAGAGAGGACAGCCCTACCCACTCCTACCACTGGTAGACAGGTGAGCCACATCTGCTGGAGCTTCCAGCTCAGCAGTGCTACTTCTTTCTGCCTGAAATTACCAAGAAGTGCAGCATTCTCTTGCCCCAGAAACACCCAGATGATAGGGTGGGCAACTCCACCAATCTTTGCCTTTTGTAACCAGACACCCCAGCTTATAGCCCAGTGGTCCTGCTTCTACCTAAACTCCATAGGTAGGGACAACACTGTGTTACCCTGGAAAGCATTCAGACAGCAGATTAGCGCTAAGCTGTAAGGATACTACTTGTCCGCCAACTGTGGCCCCTGCCTAAGGGAGTTCTGTGGACCAGAATGCCCAACATAATAAATGTGAGCAGAGAGACAGTAATCAGGGAAGCCTCATCCAATACCCAGGAACTGACTAGGATCAAAGCCAGTCTACTGACTAGAATCAAAGCCAATCAACTAAACCCAACTTATACCACAATCAAACCCCCAAGGGCATCAAAGGCAATAAAAGAAAAAAAAAAGCCCATCTAAAAGATAGCAGCTTCAAAGATTGAAGGAACATCAGCACAAACAGATGACTGAGAGCTGTGCAAGAACTGGCAACTCAAAAAGCTAGAGTCTCTTCTTATCTCCAAATTACTCCGCTAGTTCTCCGGCAATGGTTTTTAACCAGGCTGAAAGGCTGAAATGTCAGACGTAGAATTCAGAACATGGATAGGAACAAAGATCATCAACAGCAGAAAGTCTACACCTAATCCAATGAATCTAAGGAATACAATAAAATAGTACAGTAGATAAAACATGAAATTGCTATTTTAAGAAAGAACCAAACTGAACTGATGGAGCTAAAAACACTCATTTCATTAATTTCACAATCACGTGTAGTTTTTATCTATCTTATTTTTATTTCTTATCTGTCTTAAAAATCCACTTTATTGAGGTATAATTGGCATACAAAAAGCTGTATATATTTAATGTATACAACTTGATCATTTGGTAGATAAATATACACTCATGAAACCATCACCACTTTCTGTCTTTTACTTTTTCTTCTGGAAAATTTAAAACACACACAAAAGTAGGGAGGTTAGTATAATGAATTACCATACATCCACCAGTCTGCTTCAACAATTATCGATAGTTTGCCAATGTTTTCTCATCTCTCTCCACCCTGCACATATTTGTAAGAGTATTTTAAAGTAAATCTCACATTTAATATCACCTCACTAGTTTATACCTTGGTATGGATCATTAACAGATGACACTTATTCCATAACATTTTCTAATATCATTATCACATTTTACAGCATTATCAATAATTCCTTAGTATCATCGAATATAGAGTTCATATTCAAATTTTATTATTTTCTCATACATATTTGTTCATTTTCTTAAGTCAAGAACACCCCAGCCCCATCCATCCAAAGGCCAGACATTGCATTTTGTTGATATGTTAATTAAGTCTCCTTCAATCTATATTTTCCCCTTCCCACTCTTTTTTATTCATGTCATTTATCTATTAAAGAAACCATGTCACTTTTCCTATAGAATATCTACATTTCAGGTTTCTTATTTAAAAATTTCTTAATTTTTTTATACTTTAAGTTCTGGGATACATGTGCAGAAAGTGCAGGTTTGTTACATAGGTATACACGTGCCATGATGGTTTGCTGCACCTATCAGCCTGTCATCTACATTAGGTATTTTTCCTGATATTTTCCCTCCCCTAGCCCCCGACCCCCCAGCAGGCCCCTGTTGTGTGATATTCCCCTCCCTGTGTCCATGTGTTCTCATTGTTCAACTCCCACTTCTGAGTGAGAACATGCAGTGTTTGGTTTTCTGTTCCTGTGTTAGTTTGCTGAGAATGATGGTTTCCAGCTTCATCCATGTCCCTGCAAAGGACATGAACTTGTCCTTTTTTATGGCTGCATAGTATTCCATGGTGTATATGTGCCACATTTTCTTTATCCAGTCTATCATTGATAGGCATTTGGGTTAGTTCCAAGTCTTCACTATTGTGAACAGTGCTGCAATAAACATACATGTGCATGTGTTTTTATAGTAGAATGATTTATAATCCTTTGGGTATATACCCAGTAACGGGATTGCTGGGTCAAATGCTATTTCTGGTTCTAGATCCTTGAGGAATTGCCACAGTGTCTTCCACAATGGTTGAACTAATTTACACTCCCAGCAACAGTGTAAAGGCATTCCTATTTCTCCACATCCTTTCCAGCATCTGTTGTTTCCTGACTTTTTAATAATCACCATTCTAACTAGCATGAGATGGCATCTCATTGTGGTTTTGATTTGCATTTCTCTAATGATGAGTGATGAGGAGCTTTTTTTCATATGTTTGTTGGCCATATATGTGTCTTCTTTTGAGAAGTGTCTGTTCATATCCTTTGACCACTTTTTGTTGGGGTTGTTTGTTTTTTCTTGCAAATTTGTTTAAGTTCTTTGTAGATTCCGGATATTAGCCCTTTGTCATATGCATAGATTGCAAAAATTTTCTCCCATTTGTAGGTTGCCTGTTCACTCTGATGATAGTTTCTTTTGCTGTGCAGAAGCTCTTTAGTTTAATTAGATCCAATTTGTTAATTTTGGCTTTTGTTGCCATTGCTTTTGGTGTTTTAGTCATGAAGTCTTTGACCATGCCTATGTCCTAAGTGGTATTACCGAGGTTTTCTTCTAGGGTTTTTATGGTTTTAGGTCTTACGTTTAAGTCTTTAATCTATCTTGAGTTAATTTTTGTATAAGGTGTAAGGAAGGGGTCCAGTTTCAGTTTTCTGCATACGGCTAGCCAGTTTTCCCAACACCATTTATTAAATAGGGAATCCTTTCCACATTGTTGTTTTTATCAGTTTTGTCAAAGATCAGATAGTTGTAGACGTGTGGTGTTATTTCTGAGGTCTCTGTTCTGTTCCATTGTCTAATATCTGTTTTGGTACCATACTGTAGCCTTGTAGTATAGTTTGAAGTCAGGTAGTGTGATGTCTCCAGCTTTGTTCCTTTTGCTTAGGATTGTCTTGGCTATATGGGCTCTTTTTGGGTTCCATATGAAATTTGGTAGTTTTTTCTAATTCTTTGAAGAAAGTCATTGGTAACTTGATGGGGATAGTATTGAATCTATAAATTACTTTGGGCAGTATGGCCATTTTCACGACATTAATTCTTCCTATCCATGAGCATGAAATGTTTTTCCATTTGTTTGTGTCTTCTTTTATTTCCTTCAGCAGTGGTTTGTAGTTCTCCTTGAAGAGGTCCTTTACATCCCTTGTAAGTTATATTCCTAGGTATTTTATTCTCTTTGTAGCAATCATGAATGGGAGTTCAATCGTGATTTGGCTCTCTGTCTGTTATTGGTCTGTAGGAATTCTTGTGATTTTTGCGCATCGATTTTGTATCCTGAGACTTTGCTGAATTTGCTTATCAGCTTAAGGAGATTTTGGGCTGAGACAATGGGGTTTTCTAAATATACAATCATGTCATCTACAAACAGAGATAATTTGACTTCCTCTCTTCCCATTTGAATACCCTTTATTTCTTTCTCTTGCCTAACTGTGGTGAGAGAGGGCTTCCTTGTCTTGTGCTGGTTTTCAAAGGGAATGTTTCCAGCTTTTGCTCATTCAGTATGATATTGGCTGTGGGTTTGTCATAAATAGCTCTTATTATTTTGAGATACATTTCATTAATACCTAGTTTATTGAGAGTTTTTAGCATGAAGGGCTGTTGAATTTTGTTGAAGGCCTTTTCTGCATCTATTGAGATATTCCTGTGGTTTTTGTCATTGGTTCTGTTTACGTGATGAATTACATTTATTGAATTGCGTATGTCGAACTAGCCTTACATCCCAGGGATGAAGCCGCCTTGATCGTGGTAGATAAGCTTTTTGATTCACTACTGGATTCAGTTTGCCAGTATTTTATTGAGGATATTTGCATCGATGTTCATCAGGAATATTGGCCTGAAATTTTCTTTGTGTGTGTGTGTGTCTCTGCCAGATTTTGGTATCAGGATGATGCTGGCCTCATAAAATGAGTTAGAGAGGAGTCCTTCTTTTTCTTTTGCTTGGAATAGTTTCAGAAAGAATGGTATCAGCTCCTCTTTGTACCTCTAGTAGAATTTGGCTGTGAATCCGTCTGGTCCTGGGCTTTTTTTTACAACAATAACAAACTGCCATCTGCTTTTTATCACCTACTTGTAAGAAATTCTACACAATATTGATAACAGAATACTCCTCTCATAAAAAAAAAAAGTTGATTTCAATTCTATCTGAATAATTACCTGCTTCAGAGGCTGCCCTTGGCATGACTCTGTGTCATCTGTTCTCTTCGGGCCTCAGAGGAAACTGAACAGAAAGCTACTCCTGCCTATGTCCTGTTGTGTATCTAGAGGGACAATTTAGCCTCCAGCTTTACACTGCCTCCAGAGCTCAATTACATAGAAAAACCCAACCGTCCTCAGGACACTTTGCTGCCATCTGCTGGGAAATTGTGAAAAGTACACAAAAAGTGGTTGGAGCCTCAGATTTGCCTAGCGTTCCCCCTAAACACTCACATGGGACGGTACTTTGTGTGTGCATGTTATTGTATAAATGCATGTGCCCTCAACTATCAGAAAGCATATGGACCATTTAGCATTATCTAAGCTATAAAGAGTTGAGATGCAAAATTTCCTTCCATATTACTTTTTTCTGTTGTCTAGCAAGAGTGGTACCCGAAAATCACTGGAGTGGTCTTGAGGATTTTAGGTGTCTCTGTGTGCAAGTGCTGGAGGGAGGAAATAAAGAGGGTGCCAGTATATGGAAGTGTAGAGAAGCTGTATCATTTAAGAAAGTGAGACAGGAAGAGATGTAAGAGGAAGAAAAGGAAGCTCAGAAGTCCTGATGAAATTACATTACACTGTGTCGGGCTTTGTTCTAAGTGCTGGATGTATATATTTTCTCATCCTGTGATCATGGAGTATTATTATGTTTAACTATCTCCATTCTGCAAACAGAGAAGGAGATACCAAAAAGTTATAAAAGTTGCTCAATATAATGTTTGTGTGTTTGAAGAAGTAAATAGGTTTCTGGAGGGAAAGTGCTCATACATCTGTCTGGTCTGCTGGATTAGATGCCAGTGACCTCTCTGAGCCTATGCTGACCCTGAGTTTCAGATCCGTAAGGGCAGTGGCAATCTGTTGTGAAAGGGACTCATGTTAGTGCCGAGGTCAGTGGCCCTAAGCTCCAAGACCAGGCTTGCCCATGCCAGCAGCCTCTCTACTGTGGCTCTTGGGGCTGCAGCAAAAACAAATGCAGATGGGCAATAGTTATTTTCAGTGAGTGAACCTGGGGGCTTCCTTTGCTTCTGCCCTTATAAATAAAAATAAATTTTCCAAGCCAGCTGCAACTCTGCCATCAGCAGTTGCCCTGAAGACTGCAGTAGAATGTCACCAACATGTCATTGCAGGAAACTGAAACTTAGGTCTTTGTTTCCAAAGTTTGGGAAATACTCATAGTGTCTGAACATGGGGTGAGAAGGGAAAGGAAAACTGGGTTGTTTATAACTGTTGGGAAACAAAAATGTGCTGTGTTTTTATGAGGTTTCTCTTCAGTTGCTTTTCATTTGTTTGAGAGGAAATCTACTGCTTGGTTAATATAAAGTATCTATTAGGCAGAAAGTTGCCCATACCACTGTTCTGGAGGGTGTAGTTCCTCTGTACTTTATGACTTGTGCATGACATTTTGTCCTGAAAAGAGTACTCATTGTTTGAGGGGCTACAGTGAAACACAAAGAAAAGAGGAAGACAGAAGGTCAAACAAGGGGAAAATATTTATATATATATTTGGCACTCAGGGACTTTTATAAATTGCTGAGCTGTATAAAAATGGTACATTAAGTAAAAATAAAACAACTTTGAGGTTCCTAGGACACTTATATTTTCCTCTTTTTCTTTTTTTGGTATTCCTTCAGAAAGGATCAGCTTTATAAAAAGGTGAGATGATAAATGTTTCAGAATAACTTGTAATGTTTATATGCTAATCGTGAAACTTTATAAACATAGATAAAAGAGTAGAAAATGATAAAACAGATATCTACATATCTTCCCCGAGATTCAGGTGACATGATCATTTTCTGTATTTAGATACATCGTTTTCCTCCTTACAGAAATAAAATGCTGCAGGTAGCCCCAAAGCTCTCCCTGTCTCCTCCTCCCCCTGCCTCCTTCCCCAGAGGTATTCACAGTTAGGAGGGAACTTCCTCTGTCTCTAGCCTCACATTTCCTTCCAGCAGAACTTCCTATAGAGAAACACACCTGTTTATTTCCTCTCCTTAACCTGATTCTCTTCAGGGAAAGAGGAATGCTGCACAAAGTTGCAGAGTTTGGAAGGAGGGCTTGGGCTTGTGTGGTTCAGCCCCTCTGTGTTTGGAAGGAGGGCTTGGGTTTGTGTGGCTCAGCCCCTCTGTGTTTCTTCATTTGTTTGGGAGACAGTCTTCCTACTAGACAGCATCATCACCTGCTCTTCCCTTCCCTTGCTAGGGTTTGGAGGTGCCTCTTCTTACAGAGGAGGCCTGGCATGACCCAGCTCTGCCAGTGACTGGTTTGGCACATTAATTGAATTTCATTTGGCCTTGAGTTGAAGGAATTCTTTTCTTATTTTGCAAGTCACTCTAAAGAGAGGACTAGAAGAAAGGGGTATTGTGTATAGGCCCTAGTTCCCCAAAAAACCTATGTTCAGAGACTAGGAACTTTGAAAAATATATTAAAAAAAGCACTTGGGGAGATTGATGCATCTGATAGCAGTAGGAGGTAGACAAATCCTAGGCAAACAGGGGCAGGTGTCTGGTGAACCTCATCTTCAAATCAAAGACAGTTTAAAGCCTGAAAGCCAAGCTACAAGTCTTGACAAATCCACAGACCAGATTGAGAACCTATCTTCCTGTTTGGCATGCTTTCCTCTGAATGATTCTTACCTTTCACCTGTTTTACATGTACCTACCCTTCCCTAATTGGTCTTTTACGTTGTCATGCCCACCTTTGAGTGTTGCCTTTGTTTTAGCCTTTTTTGCATACTCACAAGCCAATCAGCACTCACTCTGCCATTCTGAGCCCATAAAAGCCCCAGACTCAGCCATACTTGGGAACTGACCACCTCCGGGTGAGAGAGAACACCCAACTTTGGTTGGGGGACCACCCTTGCATCCCCTCTCTGCCAAGAGCTGTTCAGTCTCTCAATAAAATCCTCCTCCACTCTCCTCACCTTTCAATTATCAGCATAACCTCATTCTTCTGGGACGTGGGACAAGAACTCAGAACCCACCGAATGTGGGTACAAAGAAGGCCGTAACACTGTGGCCCTCTGCCCTATGACAGTGGCGGGAGCCACCCCATGCAATGAGAAGCAGTGGCAGGAACAAGCCAGCCCTGGAGCTGCAGGCTGGAGTGAGGCTATGGGACTGACAGAGCTGTTTACACACTACCATCCATCAAGCTGCAGATGGTGCGACTAAAATTGCTATTAGTGTGCTGCAACACCCCCTCTGGGGTTTCAGCATTGTGGACACTTCTGCCTGGGTGCCACCGTGTTCTCCTCATCTGGATGCTGGAGTCCACTGTGGGAGTCACTTGTGACATGCCTGGTCAAGCCCTGCATGAAGCCTGCTCCTGTGTCAGTGCTTGGAACGGCTGGCCCAATCCCTCACTCACTCACTCACACACCTCCTCCCACTAGGGGATGAGGGCACTGTTGTAGTGTACATGGGATCCATGCTGGAGTGCAAACCAGGCATGGTCTGGCAGGCTGAGTAGATGGGGCATCTCCTACAGTGAGCCCAGAACTGAGCAAGGCCTGGGTAGGGGCCATCACCAGCCAGAGGTCTCCAGCTTGCAAAGTGGTCAAGAAAAATCCTGTGTCACATCTGTGGTAGCCTTGATTGGGTGGTTTCAAGTCAACAATGAAGTCCAGTGTTGGTTCTACATTGGTAACACAGTAGTATGTCACTTAGGGGCATCATGGGACACTGGGAGATGAGGTGGACAAGCCTTGTTTGAACAATGGATGCTTTTGGAACACTAAGAGTCTTGAAGACTCAATGAAAGGGGTATGTTAGGAAGACAAAAATGTCCAGACCAGTAAGAAAAAAAAAAGACAAAAGAAAGAGAAAAGAAAATAGAATATACTATAATCAATTAACGTCATCAACCTTACAATGTTACATCAACAGATATGGAACTGGATCCAATTAAGGAGCAGATGAATTGTTAGGAGCTCAGTCAAGCATTCCAAAATGTGGGAACACTTCAGAAGGATGCAGAATTCGAGGGTCATACATAAATCATGCAGAAACAAAATGCTGTGGATAAAAGAAACATTTCCATTTCTTTGAGGTACCACAGTATTTTAGGATGAAGCACCACACACAAGGCCTGAACGATCAAAGGCTGAAGAGATGCTAGACTCTGGAGTGGAGCACATTGGTGGAGGGACTGGCTGTCCTGAGCCTCCAAGGGCCACCGGCTCCCTAGGCCTACATAGCAGCTTTGGTTCACCCTTTCTCTCAGAGCTGTTCTTTGGCTGAAATTACAATGAGGACAAGGGGAAAATTGTGCCTGTAAGGTTTGCTTTAGAAGCCTAAATGATTCCATTGAAAGAAACAGTGGCCATAGCTACTGTGGCAAGGGACTTTTGTCACTAGAGACAGATCTCACTTGATGCAACATGAGGATGCCAGGAACACAGAGACCAGAGAGGAAATGAATATCAGGAGGTTTTGAATAAGGCCAATGGGACAGAAGTGCCTCAAGAGTGACTTTGGAACCTGGGGCCATCACCAAATTTGTAAACTTTGCAAAGGTACCATAATGTAAACCAAAAATAAAATTCTAAGGCCCCAACCATCTGAATGGACTTCCTCCTCAGCCAGGGCTCTTTTAAAATTTAACCCAAAAGACTGGTTCAGGCCTTGATGGGAAGTGGGGGTCGAGCATGCTTCCTTATACCTCTCTGGCATTAACATCAACACAGACTTTAGGTCTGATAAAAAAAAACATTTTACAGCCTATTGCCTCTGAAGCCTGCTACCTAGAGGCTTCATCTTTATCATAAAACTTTGGTCTCCACAACCACTTATCACAAACCAGATATTCCTTTCTATTGATTCCAGATCTTTGAATAAACTCAACCAATTATCAACCAGAAAATGTTTACATTTACCTATGGCCTGGAAGCCCCCACAACCTGCCTCTTGCTTCGAGTTGTCTCACCTTTCTGGAAAAAAGCAATATCTTTCTTAAATGTATTTGATTGATGTCCCGTGACTCCCTAGAATGTATAAAACCAAGCTGCACCCTGACCACCTTGGGCACATGTTCCGAGGATCTCCTGATGGCTGTGTCACAGGCCATGGTCACTCATATTTGGTTCGGAATAAATCTCTTCAAATATTTTAGAGTTTGACTCTTTTCATTGACAATAATATCTCAAAGGCCATGCTCTGAAAGAGAATATAATATGCACACACTGATTTCTCCGTCCTCCACTGATGGCAGCATGAAAAGGTGCCTGAATTCAGGGTTAATTGATTTTAACACAAATCATTGACTCTGAAAATCTGGAGTTGATTGTCATCCTTGAGATTGAAAATCAAGGTTTCTTTTTCTCCGTCTACCCTCCTTCCTTCAGATACTCCTGAGTTATTGCTTTGGTGTTTGGAAATAATATCATGGGTATAGATTAAGTATTGGGTCTGGTACATAATTTTCCCTGGGCTAACTGTTTAAGAAGCTTGATATTACTGTCATCATCTACATTTTGCAAATGTGAAGCTGGTACTAAGAAAAGTTGGAATACTGCTAAAAAAGAAAACCATCCTTAACCCCATGCAGAATTTGAGGGATATCACTGAATGAAAAGTAGCAAAACCAAAAAATGAAGCAGGATGATTTTGGGAGTGTTTTTTTAACTCCCAGGGTAAAGGAGTTTATTTTATTTTTTTAATTATTTTATTTTATTTTATTTTATTTTATTTTATTTATTTTTGAGACAGAGTCTTGTCTGTTGCCCAGGTTGGAGTGCAGTGACTTGATCTTGGCCCACTGTGACTTCCACCTCCCAGGTTCAAGCAGTTCTCCTGCCTCAGCCTCCAAAGTAGCTGAGAGTACAGGTGCACATCACCACACCCAGTTAATTTTTATATTTTTAGTAGAGCTTGGGTTTCACCATGTTGGCCTGGCTGGTCTCAAACTTCTGACCTCAGGTGAGCTACCTGCTTTGGCCTCCCAAAGTGCTGGGATTACAGGGCTGAGTCACCGTGTCCAGCCTAATTTTTTGTTTTATTTCTTCCTGGGAACCTGGTAATGAAAGAGAATTTACACCAAACTGTGTAGCATAATTATATTGTTTATAATGTAGAATTGGAAAGTTTTGTCTTATTTTAGTGAACTATGTTGGACAACATGGTTTAGCAGAACAGAGTGAAAAAACAAAAGAAAAATTAAAATATCTTAAATAAACTTTTCTATCAGAAAAGTTTTAGACTTACAGAAGACTTGTGAAGGGAGCAGAGAGTTCTCCTGTGCCCCACACCCAGTTTCTCCAATTATGAACATCTTACTAATGTATGATGCACCATTAATGAACCAATATTGAACATTATTGCTAACTGAAGTCCACACTTTCTTATCAAGATTTCCTTAGATTCTGATCTAATGTTCTTTTCTGTTCCAGGATCCCATCCAAGGTGCAGCATTCCACTTAGGTGTCCATCTCCTTAGGCCCCTCTAGGCTGTGACAGTTTTTCGTACCTTCTTTGTGTTTTATAACTTTGAGAGTTCTGAGGAGTACTGGTGACGTGTTTTGTAGAAACTCCCTCAACTGGAAGTTACCTGATATTTTTCTCATGATTAGACTGATGTTTGGGTTTTGTGGAAGGAGATCACAGATATAAAGAGCCAGTATCATCACATCCCATCAACAGCCCACACTATCAACATGACTTACCACTGTTACTCTTAGTCACTTGGTTGAGGTAGTGATGTCAGGCTTCTTCACTGTAAATTTACTCTTTTTATTCCCCTTTACATTCTGTATTCTTTGGAAGGAAGTCACTATTCACAGCCCAGACTTAAGGGGTGGGGAGTTACGTTTATGAATCCAAAGCCCGATGGCCTGTGTGTTCTTTTGCCATAGGCTCCACTCAGTGAACTGAGAGGTTGCTGAGACCTGTGATTCAAACAGCAAATGGAGTCAATGGGGTCCAGGAGAAGAGTGGGGTGGGTGGCCCTTTAGAGGTCCTCCTGAGTGTCCTGTTGGTTGGGGTCCAACTCCATGGTAACAGTCTTTATGGTAAGCCAGTAGATGAGTATATTCAAGAGATCTACATCAGGTATTGTAGGAGTGATACCAGTAGCCAAATAGGTCTACCAATTGCTGGGGTTTTTTTTGTGGTTTTTGGTGGGGAGGGACAGAGAAGTTCAAAATCTTGACAATCATCTTTGCAATGAGAGGCTTTTCTGCTTTCTGAATTATGCCCAGGAGTTTTATTAGTTTCATTTGGATATTATTAGGTCTTTTTATCTTGTCTGTGTTAATGGCCCAGCTGGGTTGCTGCATGTGGATCAACAGGGTGTCTAGTCCTTGTTGGGCAGTCCCTTCATCTGAGCCCACCAGGAAGAGACAATCAATATAGCAGAAGGGCAGAGCTTTCTCCAGGAGTGAGACTGTGTGTAACTCATGGCCCATCACTCCATGGCAGATACCTGGGAGCTTAGGTGGCCTTGCCTGTGCATGTGCTCTGCTGTATTGGTGGTGGCTGTTCTCAGGGCACTGCAAGGGACAGTGTCTGGAGTGACATGGCTGCATGGTGCCCCTCTCCCTCACTAAGTTCTACAAGATTGCCTTCTTTATCATGCTTACCTCTGAAGTCTGCAGTGAAATATTATTAAACCACCCACGCATTCGCAGTATAATTACAACTTGGTAATGATATATGTTACACTGTGGGATTATATTTCCTTGTGTTTTAAATATGATTTTTCAGAGACTGAAAAATATCTGAAAACTTCTCCATCTCTTAGTGTGCTGGTTGGGTTTAGATCAAGATCTTTTAAAATGAATTTGTGAGCATTCCCTTTTTAAAAAAAAATCTTCTGAATATTTTGAATAAAATTTCCATTGTCTATTATTTTTAGTATCATATAACTCACTTCTCAGGGCATGGTGTTTTATTTATTTAATTATTTATTCAATTTGCATATGTATATTTTAAATTACTTCTAATTTTCAGGGTATTAATATTTATTTTAAATAGTAAGTATAGTGTATTCATTTTTATTTAGATTACTAATATATCAGATTTTAAATGTATAACATCTTATATTTTCCTTTCTATTCACCATTATTTAATTGTTCTTATTTTTCCAATTTCTTTTTTTCTATTAGACTGCCAAAATTTTGTTTAATTTCCTTCTTATTATTTGATGGAAGACCCAAGAATTGCCCTATGGATTAAACAATCACAGACAATCACCATGTAGGCCCTCAAAGTTGTACCATATTTAAGTTGGCTTCGCATTTTCTCAGTTCTCATGCTGGATGTGGTTGAAGAGAGAAAAGGCAGTATTCCTGGAAAACAGAACTGGAAGTGGCTGAACTGTCAGGCCAAGAAACACACATTACTATTTAGGCAGAGTTCCCTATTAAGACAGAGCTCCCTTAATATTTTAATGAAGTATTAAGTGCATGGGGCTTTTGGTTTGACATTCACTTGGGAAAGGCTGAATGCACATCAGTTAGCTGTGATCATTGTTGGAAGAATGGATCAGAAGAAAGTGTCCTTGGGCATAGGGCAGACAAAGGAGTGACCTGTAGTATGCACTTGTTGCCTGCCCAGAATCCATCTTCCACTTTCCTCTTCCCAGCAATCTGTGACTTCTGACTGGGGATCCATGTAATTCTGAGGACTGACTCCGTCCCTGCCTCCACTGTGCTCTGGCTCTAGGCCCAGTCAATGTGCTTTTCACACCCCCTTTCCACTGCAATGATTGAATCAGCGTGGACATGTAACCTTACATGGTCTCATCAGAATGATTCTCAATCGTCTTGTTTTGAAACTCTAGACTATTCTAAAAACACTATTCTTCCAAACTACAGGGTGATATATGGATGTAAGGCCTAGACTTGATGTAGACATTTTTGCTAAGCGGTGGGAAATCAGCCTAAGCATGAAGCCAACACACAGAAGAGGGTAGAGCTAATACACTACACAAAGGTACACAAGAGTTGGGGCTGGAGCCTCCATGACATCTAAACATCTAAACCAGTAGCTCCAATCTTATCTGAAGTTCACCTCAACTCTGTAGTCTTCAGAAACATTAGCCTACATTTTTTGTTTTGACTTTCTCTATATGATAAATAATGTACTCCTCCCTCCTCCCATCCTTTGCATTTAGAAACACAAAAAATGATTTGTTTAATGTCACAAAGACCACTATTTCTCCAATTCAGATTGTAATTTAGATAAGTAAACAATCAAAATCCTTTACTCTGAGCCCTGGAAATGAAGGATGAAAATTGAGGAGAGAAAAACAAAGAAACCAGGGCATTCATGGTGTTAGATACAGTTAGGTTCCCACTTCAAACAGCTTATCCAGTTTCCCTGTTCTCTATCCTATAATTCCACATACCCCCTTGCCTTTGCTGCACCCCAACTTGTCTGAACCTAGGCATGCCTGAACTTGCTACAACCCCAGTCCACATTCCTTTCCTTATTAGGGAATAGGTTACCTTCCTAATGTCCCCGTAAATGACCCCTCGTCTCTCTCTTCTCACCTTCCTTACATGTCTACCTTATCTAAGAAAGTTTAAATGTTTAGCCAGTCACGACTAGTTAGACTGTGCTGTCCAACCCTAGCCAATAGAGGAAACACACAGAAGCAGAAGCTGCATTAGAGATAATAAAACCCCTGCTTTCCTTTGTTCTGTGTGCTCTCGCCATTGCTCCATATGCGAGACACACCCTTCTGCAGAAGTAAATTTGCCTTGCTGAGAGACCCTTTGTCCTTTGTTTCAGCGCTAGTTCTTTTTTGTGACACTGAGCATGTGTTTCCAACAATGGGGACAGGAATGGAAAAATGAGTTGGAGAGAGGCAATAAAAATCTTTCTTCTCTTGACTAATATATGAAAAACACTGGCACCACCAAGTAAAAAAGATAAGATCCCCTCCCACCAGGAATTTAGGCTCCTTATGGGTACTCAGACAAACAGTTTTTCTAAGCTGTAGGAAACCGATACTAAATTGACAAATCTTGATGAATACCTCATAGGCTGTGGCATTCAATGCTACTATTTTGGACCTTACGGTGCAAAAGAAATACATTAATACACTGCCTAACATTCATATCAAGTAATTACACTGTCTACTATTGCTACATTGTCTTATTTTGCTCTTGTTCCAAATTCACATAATTTTCCCTGTTGTTATTACTCTCTTTTCATGAATGAAGAGGTTTTTGAAAACAGGTTTGCTACAGCAACAATTCTCTGCTTCACACAGGAGGGACTCCTAAGTGCCAGCCTCTGTATATGTGAACAGGGCTGCCATTTTGTTCTCACCAGTCTAAAGTTATCCTAGGTTCCTATTCCAAATGAGCTACCACTCACAGTTATTTTATTCAGCCAATATTTATTAAGTATCTGGCCCATGCAGACCTATGCAAGAGATCAGTAATACCTGTAGAAGATAATGTCCCTGCCCTTGAACACAGTACATAGGGAGCATCACGAGAGCACAAAAAGTTCAGATGTGTTGGCTAAAATTTCCCTTGGGAAGAGGAGGATTCATTGAAAATTAACATTCAAATAATGCTTTCAAAGAAGAGCAGGTGCTTGCAGCCATATGCATTCTAGGTAGGGGAATCAGTGCGCACAGAGGCTAGAGCCCTGAAACAGTTTGGCTTACTGGGGGGAACTGCAAACACTTTGTTATGATTCTGTCACAGTGGGAGAAGTGACAGTTTCATTTGGGTGAGAGGTAAGATCCTGGACGTGCAAAATGTGGAATTCACAGGACTTCAAATGCTTACTGGAGACATTGGGCTTTGTCATGCAGTCAATGTGCAGACACAGAAAGATTCAAGCAGCACAGTGACAAAATCCCATTTCTATTCCAAAAGTTCCTATTACAGTAGTGAATGTAAGGGTACGGAAAGGCAAATGAAGGTCAGAAAATCCAAAACAATAAGACATGGGATAGAATATTAATATTAGGCAATAAAAGTTCTAAGGAAAATTCTCAGGTATGACAAAGGAGGGCATTTATAATGATATGTTGTTTAGAATCTTATGATCAAATAACATATAATATTCTACTAATAAAAAAATGCCTAGGAGTGTGAGAAACTAACAAAAACACAGTACTCATGAGAATTTTTAACATATGTAAGTTTTGAGGAATGTAAGCCAAAAAAGATGATTTGAATTACAAAATACTTGAATGAATCAACACTAAAGAAAGCATGCTTTTTAAGAACCCTTGGTACATTGGCAACAATTGACCAAATATTCATCCCAAAACCTCACTAACTTAAAACAAAAAATCCAGCCCACATTAACTAATCAATAAAGCTAGAGGTAAGTAATACAAATATTTGTTACCAAAATAAGATTAATTTCAAGCCCAATGAATATTTATAGACTTTTAATTGTTAATAACCAGATTAAATGCCTAAAGTGAATATATTTTGGTCATACTAAAACAAAAATATAAAGTGTTCAGTAATTCACTTAAGTGGAAACATGAAGAATTTTTATGAGGAAAGACATACGCCTTTTATTTAGAAACATAGACAGAGACTTGACTGTATTGACTTATTTCTGGTTGTCAGTTATTCCACATTTTTTTCGGACGTAATATAATATACTTTCAAATAAATCTCTTGTGGAAATTGACTTAATGTTCTTTATGTCCATGTGGAATGAGTATGACTAGCCAAAAGTATTTTAATAAAGACTAATGTTGAAGTAAAGACAGTACTATCAGAAATTAAAATGGAGTATACAATAACTAATACAAGTGATGCGTTGTGTTAAAAAAGACTGAATGGCAAGAAAATGAGAATAGAATGCCCACATAGTAATCATAGAAAAAATATAAATGGATGAAGTGCAGGACCAGACAATTTAACTAAAGAAATAGAAATGGCCATGCACTTATGCATGAAAAAATGGATTTGAAAGCAAATAATTTGTATAATGAAATAAACGAAAAGTGATGTGTTTTGAAATGCAAAAAGAAAAAAAAAGTGGTTGGTGGAGAAAAGCTCTGAGAGCACCACAAGAGGAACAGTTAAGATATGAAAGTCCCTGGAAAAGAGGAAGCTGGGACAGGACATGCAACATTGCACTTTTCACAGGATCAGCACCAAGAGCTTGGAGTTCAAGTTCCCAGGTACTTTAGTTCAGTAAGACTATGTGATAGCTGTTATGCGGTCATCTGGGGGCTGGTGGTGAAACTCAAGCCCTGCCGTCTTCTTATTGTGTTTAGTCGGAATGTACAACAATTATGCCCATGAGGCAATTTCATGGCATGGCATTGGTATATTTGCTTCAGGGCTAGAGTGACAGTCAAGTGAGGAAGACTGAAGCCGAAGACTGAACATCAGAGTTATACATCTTGACATCCTTTGTCCTTACTTGTATTTTAAAAACCCAGGCCCAGATAACTCCAACACTCGGTTTCTCCTATATCTGACATTTGGAACCTTGTATTATTAGTTCAGAAGAAGTACTGAAGAGGCCTCAGTGCACAGGCTCGGGACTGATCCTGTAACAAAGGTGATCAGATGACACCCAGGCCCAGCTGGTCTCAGCCAAATGGCTCAGGGTTGACCCTAAATATGGAAAACCAGAGAATCAGGACTATGGCTGCCTACCATGCCCTGAATAACCAGTTATATGGATTGTCATCTGGTAGAAATCCTATGCAGGGGGTGTTAATGTCATCCTTTGTGGAGTCTCTTGGTTGGATCTTCAACCACTTAATATTTTCATCAAGAATTTAGTTGCTGATCCTATTTGCAAATGATCCAAAAACAAGAAGTATAATTTATAAAACGAGAGTGTCCAGATTGAAGATACAACCCAAAAGTCTGGAACATGAGCGTTGGAATACAGATCAAATTTAATCAGGTAAAATTAAAGTCCCAAGCTTATGTTTAAAAACAAATCACCTGCACAAACCTGAGATGGGACTAGAACTTGCTTAACAGAAGTTAATGTGAGAAAGGCCTGGGCCCTTCTACTAGTTAGCTGAAAGGATGGAGACAGAAGCAAAAGACTCTCCAAGAAGTCTGCCTTTGCCTCTAGAGCAATGGATCTCAATCTTGTCTGAGCATTGGGATAACTTGGGAAACTTTAACACGTACTAACACATGAGCCCCATTACCAGGTATTCTGATTTAATTAATATGGATTATGGTTGGAGAGTCAAAATTTTTTGTAGCTCTTTAGCGGATTCTACCGTATAGTCAATGTTGCCAATTACTGCTATAAGCCTGTAGATATCAAACTTGAGTGTGTATCAAAATCTGGAGGGCTTCTTAAAACACAGAATGCACACCGAGACTGTCTGATTCAATAGGTCTGGGGTAGGGTATTTGCATGTCAACCACAATGTCAGGTGATACTGATGCTACTACTCTGGGAACCACATTTTAAGAGCTACTGCTCTAGACGAACCTGGAGTTCTCCAGATGCAACTAAAGGCTTTTTAAATTCTACCGCTGGTATTGAGCCAGAATGCATAGAACCTGGCCCTGTGCCTATCTTCTCTTCTGAGTAGGATTTATTCCATAAGCTTTGGCCTTCTCTTTACATCTTCATATCTGTGTCTGGAGGGTAGGGCCAAGTTGGACTTCGGGATACTAAACTGAGGCCTTTTATTGTAAGGACAGAGAGTAGGATGTGATGTCTTGATGCTGCTTCAGGTTACTAGAGGAGACAATGATCTCAGTTCAGAACCAAGCTTAAAGTTATATATCTCTCGGGGACTATTTGTCCCAGGAATGCAAGCTAGGATTTACTTTTCAATCTTTCCCCAGTTTCTTTCCCAAAAGTAACATATCTTTGGGAAGAAATTAGGGTAAATGAGCAATGGTAAGCTCAAATCCTGGCATCAGGAAAATTCTCCTAGCACTCATGGTATGGCCTGTTCACCACTGACCACAAAGACATGTAGAAGGTGGTGCACAATTTTCAGGAGTCCAGAAATACAAACAGTTCTCTTAATACTTGCTCTGTAGTCTCAATTGTTGTCATCTCTTTCCACACACACATGCATGCACACACACGCACACACATGCACACAGGCAGTTCTTACAATATTGAGATGCTTTGCTTAGACTGGGCTGTATATAAGAGACCTGATTTACATCTTATAAAAATAGAACATCAGAGTTAGAAGAGACGTGGAAATCTTTCTACACTGAAATATGAGAAGTCTGTGGCCCAGGGAAAGAAAGTGATTCACGTGAGTCATGAAGGTAATGAATGTATAACCCAGTTTTTCTGTTTTTCCTATTATCCCCTTCATTTTGACATTGAGGTGTCATATTTAATTGAGCCACAAGAGGGAGGCAGTGGACAAGAAATTGTCCTACCTAATTTGAATTCCTACCTAATCTGGTGTCTTCTGGGAAGACCTTATGAAAAGTCAACTCCCAGCTCTGGTCTTGTATACTAGCGCTGGGTTGGGTCCCATTTCTATCCCATATTCTCTGGGAATCTAGTAGATACAGCAAGTCATCCCTCTGACCCTTAGCTTTTTCATCTGCTAAATTTTGTAGGTATTATTTAGATATTATTACTTATATTGAAAGGTGTTAGTGAGGATACCTGAGAATGAATTTTCAAAACATCACAAGTTGATTTTCAAGATAGTATTAAAGTGCTTTAATTTCAAAGGGTGCTTTTTGTACCATCCTAACTTTATACCACTTTTTTGTCCACTCCCACCCCATTCTCTGCACTCTGGTGAACTGAAAAACATATTTTAGATTTTATCTAATTGTTATTTACTCTACTCTCCTCTCCCTTCTCCTGTCTTTCCCCACATTCTGTAAAATGTGAGCACATGCATGATGGAGGAGGGTGTGGATACAGCTAGAGGGAGAGGTTGAGACTGCACATCTCACCTGGTCTCATATTCTGAAAAATCTGGGTTATAAATGGCACACCAGAGACATTACCATGCCCTCCTCTCTGCTTTTTGGAACATGGATCTTATTGCAGAAGGTGAGGGTTTGGGAAGGCTTCGGGATGAGTGGCCAGGTGGCAACATCTGTGCCTGGCTTCTTCCCTTCTTGGTGGAACAGCCACTGGCCTCTCATAAGGGAAATAACCTGAACCAGCCCGACCCTGAGAGCCTCCCTCATGGTGTTGGACTTATAGATCACACATTAAGGAAATATGTCCATGAGAGATTTTAGGATGACTCATATGGTTTCATGGATCTAGAAGTGACTTTGAAAGTGAATGAACCAACCTAGTAGTTTCTAGTGAAGCTGACTGATGGAAATGAACCAAGCATTTATTTTCCAATGCCATAGAGTGGATCGGTGAAAGCTGGGTGGAGAGAGGATTAAAAGAAGTGAAATAAAGTTAGGACTTCTGAACGTTTCTCTAATACCCATTCCCATCATGGTTGGGCCAGTACCATTTTTGGAGTTTTTGTTTTGTTTCTCTTTCCCTTTATTTTACACAGTATAGAAATTCACTGACTACTCCTCAGATTTTTCCAGTCCTGCCTCCCCAGAGGGACTCACATCCCTTTTCATGGCAGTAACCACCTGGTGTTGCTCGAGCACCTCCTAGGATTCCCACTCGTTACTCAAAATGGATAATAAAGAAATTTTCTCAAACGCAATTTAGGTGAATAAAATTTAATCTAATAATATGTGTGAACTATTCTTCTGAAATAATAATGCTGAGATAATGAGTGGAACCACGCATTTATTTTCTTGAACCTGATAATACAAATCCCTAGCAGTTATCTGGACCAACAAGTGGTAAGAGCAGAGGTCTTGAGGTGAGCACGTTCCATGCTTCTGAGGAAACAGTACGTCTGGAGACACATTGAGACTGGAATAGGGAGAGGAGAAGGCAATGTTGTCTGAGATTTCTGGGGGGCTGGATTATAAAGCGACTTATTAAGGAGATACGGCTTATTTTGAGTGAGGTAGGAGGCATTGGAAGATTTTCAGCAAAGGGAAGACAGGATCTAACTTGCATCTTAACAGGACCACTCTGGCTGCCTGTCTTGGTAAGAACCGACTGAAGGGAGGCGAGGGAAGATGTGGGGAGAGTAGCGAGGAGGCTCCGGCAGTAGTCCCAGAGAGAGGATGGTGGGTTGTGTTGTTGGAACACAGCATCACTGCTCATTCAAATCCTAGGAGGTGGGTGCCTACGCCTCTCTTTCTTTCACTCCCCACATTCAGTCATTTTGAAGGCTCAGGTATCAGTAAAAGTGTCCCCAAGAAACATAATTCATCCCATGTGACTTATTTAAGGGATTTTTATGAAGACCTCGCAGAATTTGGGCAGAGTTAAGGGAACGAAGAAGGAAAGGGAGGTCACTACAGACAAGAAAAGCAGGAAGGTATGAGAAGAGAACACACTATTATGGGGACCAATAAAGAGCAGAAGTCTTGTAAGAAGAGCTGCTTTGTAGTATAACTGTGGAAGAAGTAGCTACTTCCAAAGGCTGTGTCAATGCAGAGAGAATAGGAAAGCAATGCTTTGTCCTTTCTCTCTTTCCAGCCTCTAATTCTCCAAACAAACCTGAATGGTTTGCTTTACTGTCACACATTTATAGGGGATTTGTGGAGATTTTCCCAGAGTGACACAATTGGCAAATGGCTGAATTGTCCGGAGCTCAGACCTGCTGCTTTTTAGCCCTGTGGTCTTTCTATTACACTACCTGGTCCCCCTCCAGAGAGAAACAACTAAATGAGACTTGGCTTTGGCTCACAGAGACAATGAATAGGGAAAGTTGGAAGTCTAAGTGGGTGAGAAGATATATTGTCGGCTCATTCCCTTTTTTGCCCTCCCAAGAGAAAAAAGAGCTGGCATTTTTTTTTTTTGGAATGAAATATATTTTCTTTTTCTGATAGTGTTCCACTGCTCTTCCTGATGTTTTCTGTAGCTTTCTTTTTTTAAAACTTTTATTTTATGTTCAGGGTACATGTATAGTTTTTAAATAAATAATCTGTACACCAAACCCTTGTGACATGCAGTTTGAAAGACAAGTGTAGGTACCAACCTCCCAGGATTTTAGTGAGAAGCAACGCTGCATCCCAACAACCCAACCCACCATCCTCTCTCTTGGACTACTGTCGGAGCCTCCTCACTATCCTCCCTACGTCTTCCCTCATCTCCCTTCAGTCTGTTCTTATCATGGCAAGCAGCCAGAGTGATACTGTTAAGACACTAGTCAGATCCTGTGTTCCTTTTGCTGAAAATCTTCCAGTGCCTCTATTTCACTCAGAATAAACCTAAGTCCTTAATAAGACCTCAAGTTCTTTTATAATTGAGGCCCCGCAGACACCTCAGACAACATTGCCTTCTCTTCTCCCTATCCCAATCTCAATGTGTCTCCAGACACACTGCCCCCTCAGAAGCACAGGAACCTGCTCCCCTCAAGAGCTTTGCACTTTCCACTTCTTTGGTTCAAATAACTGCTAGTGAGCTCTAAGGATTTGCATTATGAGGTTCAAGAAAATAAATGCTTACATGCCACAGAGGTTTGGTGTACCGATTATTTTATCACCCATGTAATAAGCATAGTACTCAATAGATAGTTTTTTAATCCTTACCCTCTTCTCACCCTCTACCCTCCAGTAGGACCCAGTGTCTGTTTTTCCCTTCTTTGTGTCCATGTGTACTCAGTGTTTAGCTATTACTCATAAGTGAGAATGTGTGATATTTAGTTTTCTGTTTCTGCATGAGTGTGCTTAGGATAAAGGAATCCAGCTCCATCCGTGTTTCTTCAAAGAACATGAACTCATTCTTTCTTATGGCTGTGTAGTTTCCCATGGTGTATACGTACCGTTTTTTCCAGTCTACCATTGATGGGCATTCAGTATGATTTCATGTCTCTGCTATGAACATATGTGGACATGTATCTTTATGGTAAAATAATTTATGTTCCTTTGGGTATATACCTAATAATGGGATAGCTGGGTCGAATGGAACTTCTGTTTTAAGTTCTTTGAGAAATTGCCACACTACTTTGCACAAGGCTGAACTAATTTACATTCCCACAAGCAGTGTATGGTGTTATTTTTCCTCCACAACCTTTTTAGCATCTGTTACTTTTTGACATTTTAATAATAGCCACTCTGACTGGCATGAGATGGCCACAGTCTCCTTGTAGTTTTGATTTGTGATTCTCTAATGATTAGTGATGTTGAGAGTTTTTTAAGTATACTTGTTGGCTGTGTGTATGTCTTCTTTTAAAAAGTGTCTGTTCATGTCCTTTGCCCACCTTTTAATGGGGTTGATTGTTTTTCACTTGTTAATTTAATTTCCTTATAGATTCTTGATATTAGACCTTTGTCAGATGCATAGTTTGCACATACTTTCTCCCATTCTGTAGGCTGTCTGTTTACTCTGTTGATAGTTTCTTTTGCTGTGGAGAAGCTCTTTAATTAGGTCCCACTTGTCCATTTTTTTTTTTTTTTGTGCAATTGCTTTTGACATCTTTGACATGAAATCTTTTCCAGGGCCTATGTCCAGAATGGTATTTCCTAGGTTATTTTTCATGGTTTTTATAGGCTTAGATTTTACATTTAAATCTTTAATCCATCATTAGTTGATTTTTGTATATAGTGTAAGTTAGGGATCCAGCTTCAATCTTCTGTAGATGGCTAGCCAGTTATCCCATTACCATTTATTAAATAGGGATCCTTTCCACATTGCTTGTTTTTGCTGACTTTGTTAAGTATCAGATGGTTGTAGGCATGTCACTTTCTTTCTGGGATCTTTATTCTGTTCCATTGGTCAATGTGTCTGTTTTTGTACCATTACCATGCTGTTTTGGTTACAGTAGCTTTGTAATATAGTTTGAAGTCAGGTACCATGATGCCTCCAGCTTTGTTCTTTTTGCTTAGGATTTCCATGGCTATTCAGGCTCTTTTCAGTTCCATATGAATTATAAAATAGTTTATTTTCTAATTCTGTGAAGAATGTCATTGGTAGTTTGATAGGAACAGCATTGAATCTGTAGATTGCTGTTAGCACAATGACTATTTTAATAATATTGATTCTTCCTATCCATGAGCATGGAATGCTTTTTTATTTGTCTGTGTCATCTCTGATTACTTTGAACACTGTTTTCTAATCCTCATTGTAGAGATCTTTCACCTCTCTCATTAACTAAATTCCTAGATATTTTATTCTTTTTTTTTTTTTGGCCTATTGTGAATGATTTGGCTCTCAGCTTGGATGCTGTTGGTGTATAAAAATGCTACTGATTTATATACATTAATTTTATATCCTGAAACTTTGCTGAAGTTGTCTATCAGATGTAAGAGGTTTTGGGCAGACTATGGGGTTTTCCAGGTATAGAATTATATCATCTGCAATCAGAGATAGTTTGACTTCTTCTTTTCCTATTTGGATGCATTTTAGTTCTTTCTCTTGCCTGATTGCTTTGTTTAGAACTTCCAGTACTATGAAAAGGAGTGGTGAGAGTGGGCATCCTTGTCTTGTTTCAGTCATCCAGGAGAACTTTCCAGTTTTTGCCCATTCAATATGGTGTTGGCTGTTGGTTTGCCATAGATGGCTCTTATTATTTTATTATTTTGAGGTATATTCCTTCAATGCCTAGTTTGTTGAGGGTTTCTTAACATGAAGACATGTAGAATTTTATCAAAAGCCCTTTCCGCATCTATTGAGATGATCATGTTTTTAGTTCTGTTTACGTGGTGAATTACATTTATTGACTCACCTTACGTTAAACCAACCTTACATCCAAGAGATAAAGCCTACTTGATTATGGTGGATTAGATTTTTTATGTGCTGCTGGATTTGGTTTGCTAGTATTTTTTTTGAGTGTTTTTGAACCTCTGTTCATCAAGGATAGTGGCCTAAAGTTTTCGTGTGTGTGTGTGTGTGTGTGTGTGTGTGTGTGTGTGTCTGCCAGATTTTGGTATCAGAATGATGTTGGCCTCATAGAATGAGTTAGAGAAGATCCTTTCCTCCTGAATTTTTGGAATAGTTTCAGTAGGACGGTGTCAACTCTTCTTTATACATTTGGTAGAATTGGGCTATGAATGCATCTGGTCCTGAGCTTTTTTTAGTTGGTAGGCTTTTTGTTGTGATTTAATTTCAGAACTTGTTATTGGTTTGTTCAAGGTTTCAGTTTCTCACTGGTTTACTCTTGGGAGGTTGTATGTTTCCAGGAATTTATCTATTTCTTCTATGTTTTCTAGCTTGTGTTCATAGAGGTGTTCATAGTTGTCTCTGAACATTTTTTGTATTTCTGTGGGATTAGTGATAATGTTGCCATTTTCATTTCTGACTGTGTTTATGTGGGTTTTCTCTTTTTTTCTTTATTAGTCTAGCTACTGGTCTATCAATCTTATTTATTCTTTCGAGGAATCTCCTCCTGGATTTTTTAATCTTTTTATGGTTTTTCACATTTCAATATTGTTTAGTTTAGCTCTGGTACTGGTTACTTCTTGTCTTCTGCTAGCTTTGGGGTTTGTTAGCTCTTGTTTCTGTAGGTCCTCTGTGTGTGATGTTAGGTTATTCATTTGAGATCTTTCTAACTTTTTGATTTGGGCATTTAGCACTATACATTTTCCTCTTAATGCTGCTCTAGCTATGTCCCAGAGATTCTCGTATGTTATATCTTTGCTCTCATTAGTTTCAAAGAATTTCTTGATTTCTGACTGAATTTCATTGTTTACCCAACAGTCATTCAGGAACAGATTGTTTAATTTCCATTTAACTATGTAGTTTTGAAAGATATTCTTGGTATTTATTTCAGTTTTTATTGCACTGTGGTCTGACAGTGTGTTTGGTATGATTTTTTTTAACTGCTGAGGATTGTGTTATGCCCGGTTGCATGGTTGATTTTAGAGTATGTACCATGTGCACATGAGAAGAATGTTTACTCTGCTGTTTGGGGGTGGAGAGTTCTGTAGTAGTCTGCTAAACCCATTTGGTGAAATGTTGAGTTCAGATCCTGAACATCTTTATTAGTTTTCTGCCTCTATGATCTGTCTAATACTACCAATGGGGTGTCAAAATCTCCTGCTATTATCATGTGGTTATCTAAATCTCTTCATATGTATCTAAGAATTTCTTTTGTGAATCTGGGTGCTCTGGGGTTTGATGCATATGTATTTATGACAGTTAGGTCTTCTTGTTGAATTGAACCTTTACCATTATATAATGCCCTTCTTTATCTTTTAAAATCATTGTTAAAATCTGTTTGGTTTGAAATTAGAATAGCAACTGCTTCATTTTTCTGTTTTCTTTTGCTTGGTAGATTTTTCTCCATCCCTTTACTTTAAGTTGATGGGTGTCATTTCTTGTGAAATGGATCTTCTGTGGACAACATATAGTTGGGTCTTGCCTCTTTATCCAATTTGCCACTTTGTGCCTTTTAATTGGTGCATTTATCCCATTCATATTCAAGGTTAATATTGATATGTGCAGGTTTGATCTTGACATCATGTTGTCAGTTGGTTATTATGCAGACTTGAATTTTTGTCCCGAAATTTGGACAGGAAGGCCCAAACAGAGCTTCCCAGCTTACCAGGAGCAGAAGCACAATAGGAACACATCAATTATAACCGATGAACTGCTGGATGTTCAATGTGGACTAACTTGGGAGCTGAAACTCCATGAGGCCCAGTCCTGGGGAGAGGTCAAACACTTGCATGGCTTTTACCTCAAAGTGTCCTAGCAGGTATTTAGTGTAAAGAACAGAGAAAAATCTTGTGCTTCTGATTAAGGAAGGTAATATAACCATTTTTTAAATACTCCAGGGCATTCTGTTGTCTTTAACAAAAAAAGTCTTCCCTCAAGGGAAACTATTTTTTCAGATTCTGATTGATTCTGATTGATTTGGATAATACCAAAACCTAACCAGTCTTGGAAAAGGTCAATACACAACTCCACCTTCCTCTATCCTTCCACGTGGGGAAACTGAATATTCAGCTACATCTCTCTCTCGTATCCTGCCTGACTTAAGTTCAGGTAGGGGCTAAGAAGCATTTGTGAAGTTGATAACTGAGAAGCACAAGTTGCTAAAAGGCTGAGACCTAATTATGATACTAGAGGATGTTTCCCCTCACTCTACACTACCATCAGATGAATCAGGATCCTGTATGATAACAGGAGATTATAGTGAATGAACTGTAAACCTCAGACCCTATTTAAGAAGTGGTGTCTAGGGAGATCCAATAATAATAGGGGAGACCAAAACAAGGACATTACAGGACATTTCAGCCTTTGACCCAAATAGCTACAACAAACAATAAATGCAGCCTAACTTCTAGCCAGATAAACATAATACCTTACATAAAAGGCCTATTTACTTTACTTCCTTTTATGTCCAGCTATCAAAAAAAAAATTACAATGTATGTTAAAAGGTAAAAGACAAAGTGTGAAGAAACAAAGCAAGCAACAGAACAAGATTCAAATGCGGCAGAGATTTTGGAATTATCGGATCAGAAATGTAAAATAACTATGATTAATATTATAAGGACTTTAACAGGAAAAGCATACAACATACATGAATAAACAGATATGATAAGCAGAGAGAAGAAATTTCTAGGAAAGAATGAAAAGGTAATGCTAGAAATGTAAAATACAGTAATAAAAATTTTAAAAATGTTTTTGATAATTTCATCAGTATACTAGGCATGTCAGAGGAAAGAGTCAGTGAGCTTGAAGATACGTCAATAAAAACTTCCGAAACTGAAGAGCAAAGGGAAAAAAAATGGAAAAAAAAAGAACAGAACAACCCCAAAGTGCAGGACAACTACAAAAAGAATAACATTACACATAATGGAAATACCATAAAAAGAAACAAGAAAGAAAGGAAGAGAAGAAATATTTGAAGTTTAAATAATGACTGAGATTTTTCCAAAATTAGTAACAGATGCCAAATCACAAATCCAGGAAGCTCAGAAAATACCATGCATAGTAAAGAGTAAAACATCTATACATAGGTATATAATATTCAAAAACAGAAAATCAAAGACAGAGAAAATTTTGAAAGAAGCAATAAAGGAGAAAAGGAAACTTAACTAGAGAGGAACAAGGATAAGTATTACATTAGTCTTCTTTTCAGAAACTATGCAAACAAGAAGGGGGTGAAATGAAGTATTTAAAATGTTGGAGGTTAAAGGTTCAGGCACCAGTCACACTTCCTTGTTACAGTAGACACTGGTTGAGATGTTAGGTCTTTCAGCCCTGGAGTTCTGCCTATGTGTGTTGCTATGTTGTACACAGGTCAACTCAAACTCTTCCATTTTAAGAGTGCCAGCATGTTCCATAGAGCTCAGTATATCTCAAGGCCTGGGATTTGTGAATTAATATCCTCATATTGGAAGAAAAATACTCATGAAATGTGGTGGTGATGAGATACACATGGTAGGCAGTATTTATGGCAAGGGTGGTGCTTAAAAAAGCTGGTTCATATTGGCAATGAGATAATCAGATGGGAAGAACGAACCAGGTGTAGAATCACTGGAGATCAGGCCGGCTGGTCCTTAGAACGTACCTATTCTAACTCTGAGGATGAAGAAACAAATATTACTCTACATCGCATTGAGTTTAGTTTCTGAGTTGAGATTAAAACTTGGATCATCTCACTCCCAGCGATGTACCTTACTGTCTTCAGCCACTTTCTTTCTCAGACATTCTTCACAGTAAATATTTCTTGCACATGTGAGGAGACTTCATGTATTCTCTGTGTCCTGGTTTTCCCTTAGTATCATTGATCATCCGTGCTCCCTCTTAGCTCTTAATCTTATGGTTTTAATACTTTTTTCCTAGAAACCATAACAAGAGCCATAATCTTGTTGAATCAAAGTCCGTTGGCCTATCAAAATGTTTATAACATAGTTTTAATTCATCCACTGTTTCATTAAAGCAAATTATAATGAGTGACTGCTGGAGAATAGTATTTGCTTGGATTTCTGAATATAGTACAGGTAGCCTGGAATAGCTAAGGAATCTGTGTTCATAATTCAAAGGAGAGACTGTAAAAAATATATCAAAACACTAAAGCTGGTTTTGAATAACTACTGGCATTTTTTTAGCTTTTTGTGGAATTTATTTTAACTGCCTCAAATTCACAAGATAAAATCCGGTGTATTAGAAACATGACTTTAGGACACTTGATGAAATGAAAATGTTGGGAAATTACTTGCCAGAGATAGTTGGTGATTATTATCCTCTGTGAAACTCAATGTTCAAGGGAAGTGAGATTAGACATCTCTATAATTGTGGGCCTTTAGAAGGCATGTGATGAAATAAAAAAAAGAAAGCTTTTGTTTCCTTTGATAACTTATATATTTGTTCAATTTGACTGACTTGATTGGCTGTAAGTCATTTTCTAAGAGTTTCAGATTAAAACTTAATTTCATTAGTTGGCAAAAATGGTTGCAGAGCAGTAAATTGGTCAGAGCTAAGAGATCTTGTAATGATAAAGAAGAGAAGAATGTGATTTGTATACACTACTTTGGTGTCAGCATAGACGAGTTGGGCTATTGTCATTAAACAGACCCTGTCCTTAGGGGACACTGGCATTTATTTTGCATATTAATATACATAGGCACCAGTATCTGAGGTTAAGTGTTAAGAATTTTAAGAGTGTTTTCTTAAGAATAATACCTTTCTTTGCTACATATGTACTATTTGAAGAACCATTTCTTAAGCACAAAGGAAACCCATATGGGAAAAAAAAACATTTTGTGCTTTTAATTTAGAATTATATAGGCACTGGAAAAATATTTTTATTAAAAGGATACAAAATAATATTTTTTCTAGATTCAAAATGAGGAATTACAGTGCTTAGATCTATCACCTCAACTTTACATGACTCCTACTTCCTAATATATTTGTTTTCACATTTTCCCTCTGTTCTAATCTTTTATTCCAGATATCTCTAAGGCTTTTACCAATCTCTTTAGCTGAGATTGTAATATAATTTTCTCTGATACTGTATCTCAGTTCACTGCTGACTGATGTGCCACCTACATCCATTCTCTGCATTGTTTCTATTTTACCCACCCAATAGCATTCAACAGAAATGTTCCTACCTGGTGTCAGACATTGAGAAATGTTGAAATCAAAAAGATAAATAAGATACATTATCTGTCCTCAGAGATACAATGAACTGGTAAGAAAAACACTTATAAAAATATAATTTTCAAATAATGGCTAATCTTGGTGGATTAAACACATCTATTTCCTCATGAAACCCAACTAAATGACTATAAAGGGTCTGGGAGAAAGTCATAAATCCAAAAATTCAAAAATAATATGAGAGAAATTGGATCATTTTTTTAAATGTTAGAAACCAGCTAGACAAGCAATAAATGACTTAGCAGCCTCCGGAAAGTGAAAACCTGACTGACGGAATTGGAAGCTTAGAAAAAATTTGATTCTCTTTGTAGAACCCCAGTAAGTCTCAAGAATTATAAGTGCTTTCAGTTGAATATGTCTGGGGACACAGCTAATTGTCTGAGAAGGTAGTTGTATTAGTATGTTCTCACATTGCTAAAAAAGACATAACCAAGACTGGGTAATTTACAAAGAAAAAGAGGTTTAATGGACTCACAGTTCCACATGGTTGGGGAGGCCTCAGAATCATGGTGGAAGGCAAAATGCACATCTTACATGGCGGCAGACAAGAGAGATTGAGAGCCAAGCAAAAGGGAAAACCACTTATAAAATCATCAGATCTGGTGAGACTTATTCATTACCACGAGAAAAGTATGGGGGAACACGCCCCCATGATTCAATTATCTCCCAGTGGTTCCCTCCCACAACATGTGGGAATGATGGTAGCTACAATTCAAGATGAAATTTGGTGGGGACACTGCCAAACCATATCAATAGTGAATACTTAAGTAAGTGAATTCCCTGAGAATAGTGAATTAAGATCCCTGAAGGCCTAGAGTATAACCAGTCCTAACTGGAATAGGAGAATATAAGGCGCCAGGAAGGGAGAGTGTATACAGAAAAATACTAATGAAACAGATCAATTACCTGTGGGTCTATAGACACTGAGATTTACATTTATGGTGGAGTATTTAAAACAACTTATTTTCAGGTATGTAGAAAACAGCATATGAAACATGAGGCAGTTACTAACTTCAGAGAGAAAAATGGTCAAAAGGAAGCGTAATCATAACACTCATAATGAATTAGCCATTAATGATTTAAATACTATAAATTGAGTTAACTAAAAAATCGTGATAAAACTATATGGGAGAATGAGGGAAAAGGAAGTGTTATGGTGGGAAGGTGTGTCCAGGGTAAAAATGAAGGATATAGGGGTTAGTCTATTGTCTTCAGTAGTAGGAGGTTAGTGCATAATATATAAAACCAAAAATTAGAACAGTATTTAAAATCATTCACTTAGAAATATGGAGTCAACACAAAAAGAAACAATTAAAATTTAAATACTTGCTTCTGGAGAAAGAAAATTGATTGGGAACTGGGGAAGGGGGCACTAATGATTTCTTTCAGGCTAAATCCAGTGAACATTTTACTGTTGTTAGCTTGTCTCTCTGAAGTATTTAATAATAATTGAATGATTTCTTCCTACTGAAATATTTCTGTGCTCAAAAAATGATAAGTAATTTATTTATATTACCTAATATAACCCTTTCAACAACGCTATGACATATTACTATCTATATTTTACAGATGAGTAAACTGAGGTGCAGAAAGCCTAAGCAACTTGCTCCAGCTCACATAGGGCATAGGATTCAAAATCCAGCTCAAGGCCGGGTGCAGTGGCTCACGCCTGTAATCCCAGCACTTTGGGAGGCTGAGGAGGGTATATTACTTGAGATCTGGAGTTCGAGAACAGCCTGGCCAAAATGGTGAAACCCAGTCTCTGTTAATATATAATATAACATATTATATAGAGATACATTCTATTATATATATAATATATTCTATTATAATATAATATATATTCTATTATATAATATATATTATATATTATATCTATTATATATAATATATCTGTATATGATATATAATTATATATAATATATAGATATTCTATTATATATAATAGGATATATATTCTATATATATAGAATATATATATTTCTCTGTCAAATTTCATGTTATTGTTCTCTTGAAATTGTTATCTGCTAATAATAACCTGATACTGTCTCATTTCATACCATATGGAGTGGGAGGAGAGACTGATGCCTGTCCTTAGTCCAGAATTTCAACCTCTCTTAGGAAGTCATGAAACTCTGTACCCTTGTCTTCTGCAATGCCACATTTTCCGAGTTTGCCTGCTATCTTCCTTACCCTCTTTTTCATAATCCTCTGGGAAATCTTATTTCTGATTATACTGTCTCTATCCTCTAGAAAAAGGGTTTGACGTTTTCTGCCTCCACCCACAAGCCTGGGTGACCTCATCCCTCTGGGCGAAGAGCTGTTGGGTTTACCTCTATAGCCATGTTCTCATTCCCTAGCTCCTGCCAGTTATCCACTTCTTGTCAACTTTATTTGAAGGTCCCTACACAACTCTGATCAAATACGTTCAAAATTTTACTATTTGTTCCTGCAGTTCTGTCCTGGTCCATGTCTATTGCCTTACTGAATGGCTCTATCACTCATTCAGTTTCCTAACCCAGAATCTGAGTGTCATCCTTTCCTGTTTTTTCTCCTGATTTACACATCCATTATACCAACAAGTACTGTCATTTCTTGTTCCTAAGCATCTTTCAAATCCATTCATTCTCTCCAACTTCACTAGCATCACAGGTAGTTCAGTAACCATCATCCCTTCCCTAGAGAACTGCCTCTACCTTGAGCCTAATTCTCTGATTTTATTATTATTTATTCCTGTTGTCTGAAACCAGGACAATATTTCTGAAATATAATCTATTTTAATTTTGAGAATCGTAATTTCAGATTATAGACCACATAGTTTTTGGAATTAAGTAAAACTGGATTTCAATCTCATCTATACCAGCTATACGAATATCTCTGAGTTTCAGTTTCTTCTTCTGAAAAATAGAAATAATAATATTACCTTCCTTCATTCCCTTTCCATTTGTGTGTCTTTTGCTCATTCATCAGGTCTCCAATTAGATGTCCCCTTATCTAGGAAGTCTCCTCTGCCTACCCAATGTTGGGTTCATTGATCCTCCTATGAGCTCTCTTAGGATATCCTACTTTACCTTGCAGATCACTGATTACAATGGGTTGTAATGATGTATTTACTCATCTGTATTGCCACTTTACCTTGCAGATAACTGATAGTAATGGATTGTAGTGATTTATTTACTGGTCTGTTTTTCCAAGTAGTCTATAAACTCTTTGAGTGAAAATTATTTTTTACCATTTTTTCAGAAGCACACGGCACACTGCTTGGCTTATAGTAGTTTTTCTAAAGAAAATGCTGAATGAATGAAAACTGCACACCACTTTGCTTTCCTCCTCCATGTAAAGTAGGCATTATTTTATTTTACAAATGAATCTTAGGTTCAGGAGATTAACAGGGCCATGCAAGAAATGTTTGCCATTGGTTTGATCTTAGTCAAAGACCAGCTCGTTCTATGATACCAGCTGCTTCCTTCACTTAGAAAGGTGTTGTTTTATTGCCATACAACCAACTTGTTGCCATTTTATGGCCACTCCTGATGAATCTCTAAAGGTGGAATTTCATGTAAATAAAACATTTAAGTTGTGTATATTAAGGTTGGTGCAAAAGTTAATTGTGATTTTGGCCATAAAATAATGGCAAAAACTGCAATTACTTTTGCACCAACCTAATAAAATAGTAATAGTAGTGCTCCAGGAAGACAAGAGTACTGTGGAAATGTGTGACCCTGTGAAAGGGGGTATTTACAAAATACCATTTACTTGTTTATATAACGACTTTTGAAGAGAGTCTGGCATACAGTAAATCCTCTACCACTGATATCCACAGTAATTAGCAGTATTATTTTCATAGGAAAGACTGTATCAGGCAGCCCCTGCTTTTTCAGCAAATTTCAAAATAGACATCCACACCCATATTGGGAACACAAAATCAGTTAATGCTTCCGATATAAAAGAGGAACTAGCTGTGCGTCTCAGAAATTCTCAGCACAGCCTTTAAGGTTCCAAACATCTGCTAGAAGAGGAATGCAGATTTAAACTGAGTGAGGTGTGGAGTGGGGGAAGTTGATTGGGTCTAGACCAAAGAACTTTGAGGAACTTGCCCAGAGCCCTGCATGCATCAGACCTACAGCAGACATTGCAGGCCTGAAGAAAGGTAGGTCCAGGGACTTGCCTTCCTAGGCTTTCGGGCTGATGGCTTGTTTCACTTCCTGGGTTAAGAATTTCTGGGAGGGGAATGAGAAGAATAATGAGGCCACTTCCCATGACCCAAGCTGGTATTCAGGGTTGGGGTGGGTTGAGTGCACCTTTAAATGTGCATTCGGTGGGGGGATGAGGAACAGTTTTTGCTACAGTCGATAGGAGTTAGAAAAGCCTCCTAAAGGCTGACATTGGAGGCTGGATAAGGTTGTTTAGTTACTTTTGTCCCCTGAGTCTTCAGGATATCAAAACACTGAAAGCAACATTTTAAACCTTTGACTAGTTACCTCATCTACTGTTAATGCCCTTCTTCTGTGGTCTTTATTCTCTGTGTCTGACTGGTTATTTTTATAACTCAGGATTTAAGAACAGATGTATCACATGCAGAATTTGGTGTACATGGAGTAGGGCACAGGCAGGGTCCCCAGCCTTGTACATTTAGATGGGCTGTGGCCTGACCTAGTTCTCCAGTGGTCTTTGGCACTATTCATGGGGCACCCAGGCAGTAAACTGAGGCTGCTCATGATAAAATCTGCTAATGAAAAACACCTTGTAGACTTTTAGCATTCTTAGGATAAGAAAGAAGCTTGTAAGTGGTCGTGGCCATTGTAATCTTTCCCCAGATGAAGTAAAAGAAGCCAATAAAAGGGAAATAATGTACCCAGAATCACACAAGTTAACAAAAGGGCTGGGAGAAAAACAAAAACAAAAACAAAAACAGAATTCTTGGTTCCTAGCCCGGGCCTTTCCCCCTTTTCCCTTCCCATGCCACCACTTCTGCATCCCCATCATCCTTCTAAAACCATCCAGATTCAGGCCTCATTTTGGGTTTCTAGTCTATTTGACAACTTTGCCAAGAAAAACGGATGGCTGTTTGTACCACTCTCCTCATGCTCTCTCCTTGCAATTGTGACCCATGAGGAGGATGGTGACATAAAAATGAGGAAATAAGAGACTGGTGGTGCTGCTGATCCACAAGGTGACTGGGGCCAATAGAAGAGGGAAGGGTGGTCTGGGTTTCCCCACCTCTTTATCAGGGGTGTGGGGGAAAGACATTGTATTTCTTAAGAGCCTGATGCATATAGGTGATGTGGCAAAACCAAGGTTTAAATTCTTCTCCAACCTGGAAGAAATGTCCCTCATATGCATCCAATATTCTCAGCAGTTAAAAAAAAAATTGAATATAGAGAAGTCAAGCCCTGGATGGTAAACACGTTTTTGTTCTTGGGGACTTCATGTGCCGTAGATAATTAACACAAGGATTTCTGTGGTGGAAAAAGAGGAGGCAGTTATATGAATTTATGGCCAGAGTTTCTTAGAATGACAAAGCACCAGCCTTGAATGACCAGAACCTGACCTATGTTACCAAAGAATTATGGGAAAGCATAGGAGTCAGTTACAAGCTTTATTTTGATATAATTGCTCTGCCCTCGAGGAAGCTTACAGTCTTACCAGAGAGGCACTAAACACAGAGAGAGAACCACCAGTGCGTTTGATAAGACAGACCCAACATGTCCTAAATTCTCAGTCTGAAGGTGTGCCTGAGAGATTGAGGCAGAGGTTCTTTTACATTAAAGAAGAATAAAGTACACATTTAGATGGACTAAGAAGAATCATCTTTAGTCACTTTCCAAATAACTTTGACTTTTGCAATGTAGAAGGAACATAACACATTTCTTAAACCCTTATTTACCGTCATAGGCTGACTAATCCACATGTGGGCAATGGTGGGGAAGTGGGGGAATAGTGTCTGAGAGAAGATAGAGACTATAAAATGCTGTTCATGTGTGAGAAGATTAGATGATGTGGTGGGTTTGTTTTTGTTCTTACAAGGTGGTCACAAGAGGGGTGGAACATTCCTGCAAATGGTTTCAATATATGCAGATGTC